>NC_000015.10:37519298-37822328 GCF_000001405.40 Homo sapiens
AAAAGGAGAAAGTATGGGCTGGTAAGAACAGGGGGCAGACTTTGACTATTAGACTCAGAATAAACTGAATAAAAAAATACCATATGTTTAAAGAATCGCTATGGCAATTGGAACTTGTTTGAGGCAGGTCGGGACACAAGAATGTAGTTAAAATTAATAAAAGAAATAAGATAGTGAATAAAATTACAATGGATAAATTAAAAAATTACAGAACTGGTTTCCATTGTGTGGAGGAGATTGATCAACATTGTTAATTGGGCTAAGTGTCTTCAGGTGCTAGGATGTTCGAGCAGGCAATAAAAGTGGAAGTTGTTACTTCACCAAGTTGTCTCAAACTTGATTATTCTTGTGTGGAGTGTTGAAAGGTGGAGTCAAAACATAACAGCATTCTAACTCATGAGGTGCCTTTCTTCGAGAATTCCCAACGTACACTGTGCTGCCACTGTCCTTACCCTATAGCGTGTGTATCCATCCACTCCTTCATTTAGCTAGGACTTTAAGAATTTTTCATTGAGTGCCAACTATTCTTAGTTTTAACCAGATGATCATGTGATGCTGCCTTTTTATAGTAAGAAAGAAGTATATACTGTTCATTTCATATCGTTTGATCTGTGTACGGCAAACAGTTTGCTAGGCCACTATAAGAAGATAAAATCAGTCCTTGCCTTTTCAGACTTTATAGTATAGCAAAAAAAGTGGCAGAAATAAGTATTACAACTTGCGGCACATATTATGAAGGAAACGAAAGGATTTTGCAAAAGATAATAAACAAGGATCTAACAATGAACAGGTGGTGAGGAAACAATTTTCTGGAAGATGAGCTTTATGATAAGACTTGAATGAAGAGAAGGCTTGGCCACATTAGAAGCAGGAGGAAATATTTCAGGTATAAAGAAATGCACATATGAGGTAACTGAGGTGGGAAAGAGCCTGGGGTATTTGCGCAACTGAGAGGACATCAGTGTGATTGGCATGTAAAAAGAGAGCAGGGAAGGAATGCTGGAAGGCTGGAGCAGTGGGCAGGAAAGGGCCACTTGGCCTTTGCAAGGAGTTTAGATTTTGTTGAAAAATAATAAGAAATGAGTGAGGAGTTTTAATTTGAGAGGAAAAAAATCTCATTCTCTTCATAAAGACTATTACATTGGCTGCATTGTGAAGCCTAAATTGCCAGGAGAAACCAGAAAATATACCAGGGAAGAGACTGTAGGAGACTAGGTAGAGATGATGAAGATATAGATGAATGGGTGGTACAGATGGAGAGAAGGGGTGCTTAGGAAACAAAAGTTATGAGAAAATGACTCAGTAATTTTGGCACTAAATATATAATGCCCAAACGTATGCACCTATACAATAGTAGACATGTATAAGAATGATTATAGCAGCATTAATTACAAAAGGAACATATGGAAAAAATGGAGGTGCACATCATCAAAAGAGCTGACAAACAAACTGTGGCATAGTCACTCACATAGTGAAAAGTTAGACAATAGCAAAAACAAAAATCTATATCAACACAAATATGCTTAAATTTTAGCAATATAATATTAATTTTTAAAAAAACTTAAGTCCAACTCTTAGCTACATGAAACCACTTTAAAAATAAAATTAAAATAACTAAAATAACGAGATATACTATTTTGGAATAATGTACATGCAGAGTTTTTTAAAAAAAACTGTTTTTAAAAAGGAAAGCAAGAAAATGATAGACATGGCATCCAAGATGATAGTTTAGCTCAGGTTGAGTGAGACAGGCTTATGCAATGAGAGAGAAAAGCATTAGATGGAGGTTATTTTCTGGTCTTAAGTTTTATTTTGAGTTCACAGATGTTTGTTTTGGGTTCACAG
The DNA here is from genome assembly GCF_000001405.40 of Homo sapiens. NCBI lineage: Eukaryota > Metazoa > Chordata > Mammalia > Primates > Hominidae > Homo > Homo sapiens. Next base: position 37,521,144 of record NC_000015.10, read on the forward strand.
GTGCTTATTAGATAACCACAAACTTGAAAACTAACTACAGTTATATTTCAGGTATATTGTGTGTTCAGTTCCAGACCACTGCAATAAAGTGAATATCACAATAAGTCACACAAATTTTCTGATTTCTCAGTGCATATGGAAGTTAGACAATAGCAAAAACAATCTATATCAACACAAATATGCTTAAATTTTAGCAATATCATATTAATTTTTAAAAAGTAATCTATTTTATACAGTAAATAGTAATCTATTTTATACAGTCATCTATTTTAATAGAAATTTAATTTTAAGTAATAATAAGTTTAAGACATATTAGCATTATGTCTAAGAAACAATGTACATATCTTAATTTAAAAATACTTTATTGCTAAAACTTGCTAACCAGCATCTGAGCCTTTGGCAAGTCATTATCTTTTTTCTTGTGGAGGGTCTTGACTCAATGTTTATGGCTGCTGACTGATGAGGGTGGTGGTTGCTGAAGGTTAGGGTGGCTGTGGCAATTTCTTAAAATAAGACAATAATGAAGTTTGCCACAGAGATTGACTTTTTCTTTCATAAAAGATTTCTCTGTGGCATGTAATATTGTTTGATAGCATTTTATCCATAGTAGAACTTTTTTTCAAAATTGGAAATATTCCTCCCTAACCCTGCCTCGACTTTATCAACTAAGTTTATGCAGTATTTTAAATCCTTTGTTGCCATTTTAAGAATGTTCACAGCATCTTCACCAGCCATAGATTCCATCTCCTTGTTTGTTGGTTTCTTTGTTTGTTTTTTGAGCTAGAGTTTTGCTCTTGTCGCTCAGGCTGGAGTACCGTGGTGCAATCTCAGTTCACTGCAGCCTCCACCTCCCAGGTTCAAGTGATTCTCCTGCCTCAGCCTCCCAAGTAGCTGGAATTACAGGTGCGTGTCACCACGCCCGGCTAATTATTTTTAGTAGAGATGGGGTTTCACCATGTTGGCCAGGCTGGTCTCAAACTCCTGACCTCAAGTAATCAGCCCCCCTCGGCCTCCCAAAGTGCTGGAATTACAGGTGTGAGCCACCACACCCAGCCTAGATTCCATCTCAAGAAACCACTTTCTTCACCATTGATAAAAATCAACTTATCTGATAAAATTTTATCATTTAACAAATTAGAGCAATTCAGTCACATCTTCAGGCTCCACTTTTAATTCTAGCTCTCTTGTTATCTACACCACATTTGAAATTACTTCCTCCACTGAAGTCTTGAACACCTCAAAGTCATCCACAAGGGTTGGAATCAACTTCTTCCAAATTCTTGTTTGGTATTGATATTTTAACCTCGTCCCATGAATCACAAATGTTCTTAAGAGCATCTAAAATGGTAAAAACAAATTTAGAGGATTTTCAATTTACTTTGCTGAGATCTGTCAGAGGAATTCCTATTTACAGCAGCTACAGACTTATAAAACATTTTTTTAAAATAATAAGACTTGAAAGTCAAAATTACTCCTTGATCCCCTGGCTGCAAAATGGATATTTTGAAAGCAGGCATAAAAACATTCATCTCCTTGTACATCTCCACCAGAGCACTTGGGTGACTATGCATATTGTAAATAAGCAATAATATTTTGAAAGTAATTTTTTTTTCTGAGCAGTAGGCCTCAACAGTGGGCTTAAAATATTCAATAAATCATGCTCTAAACAGATGTGCTCTCATCTGGGCTTTGTTGTTCTATTTATAGAGAAGGAGCAGAGTAGGTTTAGCATAATTCTTAAGGGCCCTAGGATTTTCACAATGAGGAACAAGCATTGACTTCAACTTAAAATCACCAGCTGCATTAGTCCCTACCAAGAAAGTCAGCCTGTCCTTTGAAGCTTTGATGCCAAGCATTGACTTTCTACTCTCTAGCTATGAAAATCTTAGCTGGCAGCTTCTTTCAATAGAAGGCTGTTTCTTCTACCGTGAAAAATCTGTTGTTTTAATGCCACCACCTTAATCAGTTATTTTAAGTACATTTTCTGGATAGCTTGCTGCAGCTTCTACAACAGCACTTGCTGCTTCACCTTGCCCTTTTATGTTGTGGAGATGGCATCTTTTCTTAAACCTCATGGCCTAACTTCTGCTAGTTTCAGACTTTTCTTCTTCAGCTTCCTCACCTCTCTCAACCTTCATAGAATTGAACAGATTTAAGGTCTTGCTCTGGATTAGGCTTTGACATAAGGGAAAGTTTTGGTTGGTTTGATCTTCTATCCTGACCACTGAAACGTTCTCCATTATCAGCAATAAGACCGTTTTGCTTTTTTATCATTCATGTGTACACTGAAGTAGCACTTTAATTTATTTCAAAAACTTTTCCTTTGTATTTGCAACTTGGCTAACTGGCACGAGAGGCTTAGCTTTCAGCATATCTTGGCTTTTGACATGTCTTCCTCACTAAGCTTAATCATGTATAGCTTTTGATTTAAAGTGAGAGATGTGTGGCTCTTCCTTTCACTTGAACACTTAAAGGCCACCAAGGGTGATATATTGGCCTAATTTCAATACTGTTGTGTCTTAGGGTATAGGGAGGCCCAGGGAGAGGGAGAAAGGGGGAAACAACAGGTGGTGGAACAGTCAGAACGCACGTATTTATGATGAGGTTCACCCTCTTAGATGAGTGTGGTTCGTGGCATCCCTAAACAATGCCAACAGTAACATCCAAGATCACAGATAACAGATCACCAAAAACAAATATAATAATCGTGAAAAAGTATGGAATATTGTGAGACTTACCAACATATGACCATGGGACATGAAGAAGGCACACTCTGTTAGAAAAATGGAACCAATAGATTTACTGTATGCAGGATGCTGTGAGGGTGCTGGATTCTAGTCCTACCCACCAGCTTCCTCACTAAGGGGTTGCTACAACCCCTCAATTTGTAAAAAATCAATATTTGTGAAGTATAATAAAGTGAAGTACAATAAAATGAGGTGTGCTTATAAATAAAAATAAACCACGCATGGACAAATGATAAGAGAGTGTCGTGATTAAGCCAATTCAATGTACCTGAGATTCCAAAAAGGTGCCACGATGTGTTGACAGATTAGATGTGGGGATCCCTCCATGCATTTCTAAGGCAAGAAGATGACAAGAATCAAGGGAGGGATGCAATTTCTAGCCTGAGATGTTGGGTGGATGACAATACCGTTGATCGACACAGGCAGATTGGGAAAGGAGCAAGCATGGGGAAGGGATACAGAGATAAGAATTCCATGGTGGACATGTTACAGATGAAATAACTCTAAGGTATTCACATGGCGAAGGCCAGAAGATACTACTTTATGATTCTAAAGCTCAGAAAAGAAATTTGGATTGTATATTTAAGTTAGTAACCTTTAGCTTTGCAATAGTTTACTGTGGCTGCTGTAACAAATTACAAGAGATTTAGAACCACAGTACAGACATTATTCTCTGTACTGGAGACCAGAAGCTTGAAATCAAGGAAGAATTAAGGTGTCAATAAGGCCATGCTCCCTCTGGAGCCTCTGCTAGAGAATCTGTCCCTTGCATCTTCCAGTTTCCTGGGGCTACAGTATTCCTTAGCTTGTGGCTGCATGACTCCAATCTCTGCCTCTGTACTCATATCACATTCTCTCCTTCTGTATGCCCTAAATCTTCCTCTGCTTTCCTTTCATAAGGACATGTGGGATTGCATTTAGGCCCCACATGGAGAATCCAGTATAATTGCACCATCTCAAGTTTCTTAATTAAGTCATAGCTGAAACTTCCCTTTTTGCCATATAAGGTATCATTCACAGATTCCATGGATTAGGATAGAGATATCTTTTGGAGGGGCCATTATTCAGTCCACCACAAACATATAAAGACAGTTTAATATGTTGAAGGTCTTAAGAAGAGGGTAAGGAGAAAATAGAGGAAAAAGATTCAGAAAAAATTGTGGGAAATGCCATTGTTTAGATAATAAGTTGGGTTGAGACAGCAGAACCTGTAAAGGAGATTAATAAAATGCTTTAGAGAGGCAGGAGGAAAACTAGACAAAGGTGGCATTATGGAATGCTAGAGAGATGAGTTTTCAAAAGAGTAAATAACCATGTGGAATATTGCTGAGAGGTGGAATATGACAGGGACAGAAAGGTGTCCAGTGGATTTAGCACCGTGGCCAGATGCCATTTTTGTTGCATGATGGAAACAGAGCCACAATGAATTAGGATGATAAGAGAATAAATATGAGGAAGTAGAGAAATCAAGAGGAGTAATTTTCTGTGAAGAGGATCAGAGAAATGGTATGGAAGATGGACTGGACAAGAGGTTCTGTGGAAGTCTGTATTATCTTTAGGATGAAAAGGCCAGAGTAGGTTGCAAGGTACCAAGGGTGGTCTATTAGAGAGGAAGATATTGCCAATTCAGCTGAGAGGGTGCTGGGCGAAGCTGGTGGGTAGGACTCAAATCCAGCACCCTCACAGAGAAAGTTTTCTTGCAATAAAGAGAACCTTTTGCTTAATTATATTAGGAGAAGAAAGGCATAAATGTTCACAGAGTTGGTGGGAAATGAGAAAGTGCTACTCTACTATTTCTCTCCCTCTCCTTTTTTTTTTTTTTTTTTTTTTTTAGAAAAAAAGGCAATAATAAAACTAACTGGGAGAGAAAAGCTGATGTAGAACATTTAAAGAGAGGAAAAATTATGAAATCATCATCTCAGAAAGCAAGAGACGAAGTTTATTATACAAGAATTGCAGAATTCCTGGACCATGTTGAGAACCCATCTGAAATTTGAGATAAATTTTTAAAGTAAAACCGATCCACTGTGTTGAGTCTTTTCTTTCTTTCTTTCTTTTTTCACATAGAAGCCCCAAGAAATGGGTTTAAACTTATTCAAGGCTGGAAATTCAGGGCACAATTGCATATCTTGTAAGCTTTGGCTTTGTCTCTACCCTGGATTCAAATTTTGATTCCTTTACTTATTAGCTATGAGCCTTTAGAGTTACTTAACAAGTTAGTGTCTCAGTGTCCTCAACTATTAAGTGGAAACTACACTGCTGTCTATCTTATCAGGTTGATAGGAGGATTAAATTATTTATAATATAAAGCACTTGAAACACTACCAAATATAACAATTGCTCAATTATCATTAGCTAATAATTCTATAATATGAAGCATACAATGTACACATACTTTATAAGCTATGGTGTTTTCTATGCATCAAGAGCAAAATGCTACTTGGGTTTGGAAAACTGTAAATCATAATTATATGTAATAACTTTCTTGGATTAAAAAATATAGTTTTAGGAATCCATATTTTTAAGCAGCATATATACATATAACTATATATATATATATGACTATATATGGGGAGAAGAAGGGAGGAAAGAAAAAAGGGCAAAAGCAAATATATCTATATTATATATAGATATATAATATATATATACTTCTGTTTTTAAAATAAGAAAATTTCAAGGTCAACTCACCCCATGGCATATTCCTCACCATGAAATGTTGCCTGAGATGGTACAAACCAAACAGGTTTAAAGATTTGGGTTCTTTGAGGATTTAGCCTTCTTTTATATGAAAGAAGGCTTTAAGAACAGGATCTATTTGATAGGAAACATGGTTGTCCTCTGGGTTTGTTTGCCTAAGATGAGAAAAAGAAGTTAATAAGCATTTCTTGGCTAAATAAATAAATAAATAAATAAAGGAGCTGTAGTAAATCTCTGTCTTAGTTTAAAAGCTAAGGGATTTAGGCTAGAAATAATGAATCTATTTTAACTGAGAAAAACCAGAAAGTTTAAGAGATTTATCTACTCACAATGAAAGGTGGTATCAATAGTGCTTGTTTGGTTGGCCTAAGAATCCAAACTTCATTGCAAATAGGCTTGCTGGGGGTGGGGAGAGATCACATTCTAGGATTCCATTTAATAAAAGTAAAAGAATTGTAGCTAAATTTTAGTTATTCATAATTTTGTATTCTATATCACAGAGAGAGAAATAATGTTAATTCTGTAATTTGTTTGCTTTCATAGCTTATTAATCATCATAGCTGTAGTTTACAAAGTCTTTGAATTTCTTACCTTCTAAAAAGAACATATTTCAGGACTTTTTATTGATTTGTACAAGAATCTCTAATTCTAAAAATGCCATATCTATTTTCAGCCTGTTTCATCTACAGAAGATTCCTTAGCATTATTTTGTAAATTGATATTTGGTAAAACAAATGATTTATGAACTAAGTGGCTCCGTTTTTAGCCATTCCATTGAGCACTGCTACCTACACCAAAAGCAAGTTGCAAGCTGATTCATGTGATTTCAAAGCAATTAATGGGCTATGGAATCCCACTAGGACTTCAGAGAATTATTCTGTTTCAATAAATATATTTGGTAATGTAATCAAGAGAATTTAAAGGAAATTAACCAATTTCCTATAATAGTTATATCTGGCGTGAAAAATTCAACCATCATCAGTATCTAATACATGAATTACATGTAGCTATAGTTTAAAACTCAGAGGTAAGATTTGAGGCAGTTAAAGTTTTTTGGTTTGTTTGGTCTATTTTCCTGTTAATATTTGGGTAGCACACAAGGAGACTCAGGAGCTACCATTTAGATGGAGACTATTTCCAAAATAATAAAGGGAAGGATATTTAACACACACTCAGGGAAACTGCTAACTACTACTGTACTATTTATGCCATTGAGTGGCTCATTGACGTTTGATGTCTAACATCTGTTTGAATGATAATGAACTTTTAATGCATAATCATACATTCTTTATTAATATCTATTGAATGATTCTAAGATGTAGTCACATCTTTTAATAACTTTTTATAATGCATGTTATAAAATGCATTGGCAACATGTTCTTAATACATGATGTCACAAAAAGCTCCTACAATGTTGCTATAATGCAGGTGTTGTTAATTAAAGCAATGTAAGCACCTGCTTAATTCATTAATTTAGATTATTAGTATATGGAGCATTTTAAAATGATCAACATCATTTAAAAATAATCATGATTTTGGTGAACCTTTGGCAACAATGACTTTTTTTCATGCTCATAAATACCTGTAGCTTTCACTTCTTGAAAACAAAATAAAATAAAACTTAGGTTCCCAAATATTTGGAAGTGTTACTAAGTTATTTAACAGCGTAAGCACTTAGTCAGAGTTAACACAGAGCAACATGGGAATTATTTGTGGTCACGATTTTGGTGTTAACCTGCTTTTCTAAGGTCCAAAGAGTGGTGAAACACTGCACCATCCATTTTCTTGATCTAAGAGAATATTAGTGCCAGTTGAAGACAAAGCTCCTCCCTGAAGTCTATCCCCTTGACCAATCTAAAATTGAAGCAGTGATCCTATAATGACAACCAATATGCTTTCCCTTGTACATTCAATGCCACCTATTTTTGGAACATAGCACATAATAAATGATGAAGCATGTAGAGGAAAAAACTTTACACCGTGGCAATTTCAGCTCTGATCTCACAGAACTGTGGTTTCCCTTCTCCTTTCAACCCCATCACCACAGCTTTCAAATGCCATCGATAGCATAAGCATAAAAAGGCCTGAGCAATGGAGCATGAAAAATAGAGAAATTTCTAATGTAGTCATTTTAAAAATTGTATGTTGATTTGTATGTGTATTAGCTCAGGATGCCAGAAGAAAATATCATAAACTGGGTGGATTAAACAACATAAATTCATTTTCTCACAGTTCTGGAGAGTTGGAAGTGCAAAATCAAGGTGCAGGCAGATTCACTTTCTGGTGAGAACTTCCTGGCTTGAAATGGCTACCTTCTTCCTGTGTCCTCACATGGCAAGGGGTAGGAAGGGGAGCTTTTAGGTGTTTCTTATTATAAGGACAAAGAGCAGTAATCCCATCACACTACGGGTCTCACCCCTACGACTTTATTTAAACTTAATTACCTTCTCCTATGATTTGAATATCCCCTGCAAAACATGTTGAAATTTAATCCCCAAAGTGGCACAATTGAGCAGTGGAACTTTTAAGAGGGCCCTTCCCTCATGAATGGATTAATCCATTCATGGATTAACAGATTAATGGGTTATCATAGGAGGGAAACTGGTGGCTTTATAGAAGAGGAAGAGAGACCTCATCTAGTATATTAACATTTTAGCACTCTTAGCCCCCTCGCCATGTTATACTCTGCACTGCCAGAGAACACCATAGAGAGTCCCCACCAGCAAGAATGCTCTCAGTAGATGCACCCCGTTGACCTTAGATATCCCAGCCTCCATGATTGTAAGAAATAAATTTCTTTTCATTATAAATTATTCAGTTTCAGGTATTCTGTTATAGGCAACAGAAAATGGACTATGATAAAACCTTCTAAAAGGTCCTTTCTTCAAAAATTACCATATTGGCAGTTACAGCTTCAACATATTAATTTTTTTTTTTTGTGGGGGAGACACAATTCAGTCTATGACAATATGGTTACAATATATATGCAAACAAGACACACAGATGTTTCCTTACTCTTAATGTTTTAACATGAAAATGCCTGCCTCCAAGGGATTTTAAAAGTTTATATCTAAAAGACAGATATTAATTAATACCATTAAATAAAACAAATGTTCTCTAAGTTCTAGAAGCAATATGTCCCAGTGCATCAAAATGATACCTTGATGTTAATTGAGCTCCCAGCTAATTCTAGACAGATTTACTTACTGGGAATACAGTGGTGAACAAGACAGAAATGTTCCTGCTTTCATGGAGCTTACATTCTAGAGTGGAGAGAGACAGTAAATCAATATATAAATATGTAAACAAGAAAATATATGGTAGTGATAACTGCTATGAAAAGAAGATGATACTGCAATAGCAACAGTGTCACGGGGCCCCTCAAAATTGTGTTGTTTAGGGCCCCTGTCTCAGCAGGTCACAATGTGATGATAAGGAGAAGGTGGCTGTACGAAGAGCAATCCCAATCACCAGTAATAACAAAAATCAGTACAATTTGGAGGTTGCTTTCATTCGTTATCATATTAAAATCATTATTCTTAAATAAGAAAACCCATATTAACTATCAACACATTCTTAGATGTGGAATGAGCAACTGAGAAATTTCTCGTGGTTCTCTGTGACCAATGATCCTAAGAATAAATTATTACTTGCGAGAATTTTAATTAAGTTGTTCTTCTGCCTGCCAGGCTATCGTTTAGCTGGATAAGGGGACAATTAGTTTTATTCTGAAAAGCATCTTGGATTCACATATCTGTAATCAATGTACTCACATAAGTGTCTACAACTAGAAATTTGTGGTTGTCTGGAAGAGCGTTTAACGCAGAAAATTCATTAAAACAGGGAGTATCTATGTATAATATGCCGCTTTCTAAACAAACATTGAAACTGAGTTCTTGACTCAGTCTAACATTACTCTCTCATTGGAAGTCTTCATTAGTGTTGGTCATTTTTATTTAAACATTTAGCTTAAAATATCTATTAGATAAATTCCAGGCTGGATTTATGACAGAATGTAGGAAATAGAAACCCTGAATAATTAAATCTGGACCAGATTCACAGGGTTAAAATGGCTGAGTCTAGTACTCCCTTTTGGTGAGTGCCTAGGAAGGGAAGAGTAGATATCTTGAAAAGGCTTTCTGGTTGCTCTGGGCTAAGAACAAGCAGGTGATTATGACTTACATATGTTTCACATTTGTTAATAAAAGGGTGAGAATCAACCTGTTGGCATTATAGTCTCATTTGAGACATTAAAAGCACCAAGGAAGGATTAAAATTAATTAATCTATGTGCAAATAGGAGAGACAAGGATTGGAAACACATCCTATGATAATGTGGGTACACTTCCACATCATAGTGGACAGAGAAAATTCAGCACATTCTCAGAAAATTTGCATTAGGAAATATATGTAATTGAAATTAAGAGGCCATTACTGGGGTAAAGGAATGAGATGATCAACTTGTTTTTCTCATAAAGACAATAATAATAGAGATGAATTGATTTTTTTCTCACCCTTTTCTGTTCATGTTCTCTAATATCTTCTTGTTACATACCTATGAGTCTCTAGAATCTTGAAGTTTATAAAGTAAGGGAAGCAAAAGGCTAGGGTGTCATTCTCCTCTAATAGCACTGGTAATTCATAAAGTCATGAAAGTTTCTGAATTGCACCTGATGCTTAGTGTTTTTAGAATTATACTTCCCAAACCAAATCCTTTCATGTTAAGAGACCATAATTTCCAAACAGCATGGCTGAGATGCTTATTCCATCATCTTTATTAGTGAGAGAGAAACTGTGCCTTCGTTGTATTATTCCATTGAATACCCAGCAAGTATTCAGATAATAACCCTTCTCAGACATTTGCTACATAACAGAAGCCTGCACTTCAAAAAACTTCAGCTTGGAGTATATTTCAAATCGTGAGCTGGAGTATTGACATCCAAGGTTGAAACTGACTCGTTGTCATATGACTCTAGGTGAAATTTATTTACATCCTTCTTAAGTATTGTTTTGAGGTGGACAGAATTGCTTTCTATTTCCTAACTGATTCACAGTTATTTCTCACCTTGAAATTGATGCCACAAAGATACTCAGGGAGAAGAGCAACTCCAAGACACATAATTGTCAGATTCACCAAAGTTGAAATGAAGGAAAAAATGTTAAGGGCAGCCAGAGAGAAAGGTCGGGTTACCCACAAAGGGAAGCCCATCATGCTAACAGCGGATCTCTCGGCAGAAACTCTACAAGCCAGAAGAGAGTGGGGGCCAATATTCAACATTCTTAAAGAAAAGAATTTTCAACCCAGAATTTCATATCCAGCCAAACTAAGCTTCACAAGTGAAGGAGAAATAAAATGCTTCACAGACAAGCAAATGCTGAGAGATTTTGTCACTACCAGGCCTGCCCTAAAAGAGCTCCTGAAGGAAGCACTAAACATGGAAAGGAACAACTGGTACCAGCCACTGCAAAAACATACCTAATTGTAAAGACCATTGAGGCTAGGAAGAAACTGCATCAACCAACGAGCAAAATAACCAGCTAACATCATAATGACAGGATCAAATTCACACATAACAATATTAACCTTAAAGGTAAATGGACTAAATGCTCCAATTAAAAGACACAGACTGGCAAATTGGATAAAGTGTCAAGACCCATCAGTGTGCTGTATTCAGGAAACCCATCTCACATGCAGAGACACACATAGGCTCAAAATAAAGGGATGGAGGAAGATCTACCAAGCAAATGGAAAACAAAAAAGGCAGGGGTTGCAATCCTAGTCTCTGATGAAACAGACTTTAAACCAACAAAGATTAAAAGAGACAAAGAAGGCAATTACATAATGGTAAAGGGATCAATTCAACAAGAAGAGCTAACTATCCTAAATATATATGTACCCAATACAGGAGCACCCAGATTCATAAAGCAAGTCCTTAGAGACCTAGAAAGAGACTTTGACTCCCATACAATAATAATGGGAGACTTTAACACCCCACTGTCAACATTAGACAGATCAATGAGACAGAAAGTTAACAAGGATATCCAGGAATTGAACTCAGCTCAGCACCAAGCGACCTAATAGACATTGCAGAATTCTCCACCCAAATCAACAGAATATACATTCTTCTCAGCACCACGCCACACTTATTCAAAAATTGACCACATACTTGGAAGTAAAGCACTCCTCAGCAAATGTAAAAGAACAGAAATTATAACAAACGGTCTCTCAGACCACAGTGCAATCAAACTAGAACTCAGGATTAAGAAACTCACTCAAAACTACTCAACTACACGGAAACTGAACAACCTGCTCCTGAATGACTGCTGGGTACATAATGAAATGAAGGCAGAAATAAAGATGTTCTTTGAAACCAATGAGAACAAAGACACAACATACCAGAATCTCTGGGACACATTTAAAGTAGTGTGTAGAGGGAAATTTATAGCACTAAATGCCCATAAGAGAAAGGAGGAAAGATCTAAAATTGACAGCCTAACATCACAATTAAAAGAACGAGAGAAGCAACAGCAAACACATTCAAAAGCTAGCAGAAGGCAAGAAATAACTAAGATCAGAGCAGAAGTGAAGGAGATAGAGACACAAGAAACTCTTCAAAATATCAATGAATCCAGGAGCCCGTTTTTTGAAAAGATCAACAAAAGTCATAGACCGCTAGCAAGACTAATAAAGAAGAAAAGAGAGAAGAATCAAATAGACACAATAAAAAATGATAAAGGGGCTATCACCACCGATCCCACAGAAATACAAACTACCATCAGAGAATACTATAAACACCTCTATGCAAATAAACTAGAAAATCTAGAAGAAATGGATAAATTCCTTGACACATACACCCTCCCAAGACTAAACCAGGAAGAAGTTGAATCTCTGAATAGACCAATAACAGGCTCTGAAATTGAGGCAATAATTCATAGCTTACCAACCAAAGAAAGTCCAGGACCAGGCGGATTCACAGCCAAATTCTACCAGAGGTACAAGGAGGAGCTGGTACCGTTCCTTCTGAAACTATTCCAATCAATAGAAAAAGAGGGAATCCTCCCTAACTCATTTTATGAGGCCAGCATCATCCTGATACCAAAGCCTGGCAGAGACACAACCAAAAAATAGAATTTTAGACCAATATCCCTGATGAATATCAATGCAAAAATCCTCAATAAAATACTGGCAAACCGAATCCAGCAGCACATCAAAAAGCTTATCCACCATGATCAAGTGGGCTTCATCCCTGGGATGCAAGGCTGATTCAACATATGCAAATCAATAAACGTAATCCAGCATATAAACAGAACCAGCGACAAAAACCACATGATCATCTCAGTAGATGCAGAAAAGGCCTTTGACAAAATTCAACAACACTACATGCTAAAAACTCTCAATAAATTAGGTATTGATGGGACATATCTCAAAATAATAAGAGCCATCTATGACAAATCCACAGCCAATATCATACTGAATGGGCAAAAACTGGAAGCATTCCCTTTGAAAACTGGCACAAGAGAGGATGCCCTCTCTCACCACTCCTATTCAACATAGTGTTGGAAGTTCTGGCCAGGGCAATCAGGCAGGAGAAGGAAATAAAGGGTATTCAATTGGGAAAAGAGGAAGTCAAATTGTCCCTGTTTACAGATGACATGATTGTATATGCAGAAAACCCCATCGTCTCAGCCCAAAATCTCCTTAAGCTGATAAGCAACTTCAGCAAAGTCTCAGGATGCAAAATCAATGTGCAAAAATCACAAGCATTCTTACACACCAATAACAGACAAACAGAGAGCCAAATCATGAGTGAACTCCCATTCACAATTGCTTCAAAGAGAATAAAATACTTAGGAATCCAACTTACAAGGGATATGAAGGACCTCTTCAAGGAGAACTACAAACCACTGCTCAAGGAAATAAAAGAGGATACAAACAAATGGAAGAACATTCCATGCTCATGGGTAGGAAGAATCAATGTCATGAAAATGGCCATACTGCCCAAGGTAATTTATACATTCAATGCCATCCGCATCAAGCTACCAATGACTTTCTTCACAGAATTGGAAAAAACTACTTTAAACTTCATATGGAACCCAAAAAGAGCCCCCATGCCAAGTCAATCCTAAGCCAAAAGAACAAAACTGGAGGCATCATGCTACCTGACTTCAAACTATACTACAAGGCTACAGTAACCAAAACAGCATGGTACTGGTACCAAAACAGAGATATAGACCAATGGAACAGAACAGAGCCCTCAGAAATAATGCCACATATCTACAACTATCTGATCTTTGACAAACCTGACAAAAACAAGCAATGGGGAAAGGATTCCCTGTTTAATAAATGGTGCTGGGAAAACTGGCTTGCCATATGTAGAAAGCTGAAACTGGATCCCTTCCTTACATCTTATACAAAAATTAATTCAAGATGGATTAAAGACTTAAATATTAGACAGAAAACCATAAAAACCCTAGAAGAAAACCTAGGCAATAGCATTCAGGACACAGACATGGGAAAGGACTTCATGTCTAAAACACCAAAATCAATGGCAACAAAAGCCAAAATTGACAAATGGGATCTAATTAAACTAAAGAGCTTCTGCACAGCAAAGAAACTACCATCAGAGTGAACAGGCAACCTACAGAATGGGAGAAAATTTTTGCAATCTACTCATCTGACAAAGTGCTAATATCCAGAATCTACAAAGAACACAAACAAATTTACAGGAAAAAAACAAATAACCCCATCAAAAAGTGGGTGAAGGATATGAACAGACACTTCTCAAAAGAAGACATTTATGCAGCCAACAGACACATGAAAAAATGCTTATCATCACTGGCCATCAGAGAAATGCAAATCAAAACCACAATGAGATATCATCTGACACCAGTTAGAATGGTAATCATTAAAAAGTCAGGAAACAACAGGTGCTGGAGAGGATGTGGAGAAATAGGAATATTTTTACACTGTTGGTGGGACTGTAAACTAGTTCAACCATTGTGGAAGTCAGTGTGGCGATTCCTCAGGGATCTAGAACTAGAAATACCATTTGACCCAGCCCCATCCCATTACTGGGTATATGCCCAAAGGATTATAAATCACGCTGCTATAAAGACACATGCACACGTATGTTTATTGCGGCACTATTCACAATAGCAAAGACTTGGAAACAACCCAAATTTCCAACAATGATAGTGTGGATTAAGAAAATATGGCACATATACACCATGGAATACTATGCAGCCATAAAAAAGGATGAGTTCATGTCCTTTGTAGGGACATGGATGGAGCTGGAAACCATCATTCTCAGCAAACTATCGCAAGGACAAAAAACCAAACACTGAATGTTCTCACTCATAGGTGGGAATTGAACAATGAGAACACATGAACACAGGAAGGGGAACATCACACACCGGGGCCTGTTGTTGGGGGTGGGGAGGGGGTGGGATAGCATTAGGAGATATACCTAATGTTAAATGACGAATTAATGGGTGCAGCACACCAACATGGCACATGTATACATATGTAACAAACCTGCACATTGTGCACATGTACCCTAAAACTTGAAGTATAAGAAAATAAAAAAAATTGCTATGTGTCCTAAGCAATATTCCTTCCTCTGTTCTACTTATAAATTCATAAAGGTTTCCTATTTCCTACCAAATGAAATTACAACTTCTTGGCATTGCTCAGCAATCTTGCTTGCTTCACAAGAATTTCCAGATTGATCTGCCCCTTGAATCTCAACCATCTCTTCCCTGTTCACCTCTCATTTTGGTGCTACTTGTATTATTCTGGTGATATGTATTCATACCAATGTACCTTTGTTTGTGCTGTCTCCCCTGTGTGTAATGTTCTTGCTTTTCTCCTCCCTGTCATCGAAGGCCCTTCTCCTACTGTTAAAATACTCTTTGTCTTCCAGACCAGGATCCAGTGTTTTCTCTTCTTTCATATATTGCTGTTTCTCCTAGTAAGAGGTGGCCAACTCTATCATGCACCTCTATTTTCAAGCACAGCACAATTGACATTAGAGTTATTTGTGCACATGTCTTTCTCCTTTGATGGACTATGCATTCATTTATGTAACCTCCTTAGGCCCTTAGACTATGCCTGCCATGCAGCAGGTAGTTGATATTCATTGTATTTAACTGGCTTTGAGAATTTTAATGATTTCTTTGGCATCTATCCTGATCTAGAAAGCAATGGTTATCATGGAACAGAGAATCAACAGCACTGTTTAGAGAAGGGAAAGCTAGACAAGAGCTATCCTAGGTTTTTGTAAGTAATTATAGCTTAGAACAATTTTGCACCAAAGAATCAAGACAGAGCAGGTTGAGCTTAGCAGTCTTGACTATAAGTTCTGAAGACTCTCAAGACTATGACCACAATGGAAAGGCCCCATTTATAGCGTAAGCAAGACTGCTTTGCTCAGTTCTCAATCAACTATCATGGCTACTTGTTAATCAGTGAAGCCAAGTTTCCTCCTGGATGGCAACAACATTTGGTTGTAGTTATGGAGGCAGATTTGATTTTGATTGACTCAGACCTCTGATTGCTGTGTCACAAATATGTAGTAGGATGACTCATTGAATGACTAGCCTCTCAATGGAGAGCTCAGGACCTTTCACCTAAGATACTTTATTAGTAAAGAGCCCATGTTTAGAAGACAATCTCTCCCTTAGTTGATAAATCCGAGGCCATGTCATGATGCAGCATAGTCTAGTGCAAGGAAAGTCAGTCATGAAGATTATAACTTGGTTCTAGTCTCAGACAAGCCCTGAATTAATTTGGGATCTCCAAGAACATATTGTAATGAGCTGTGTCTTCAGACACACTTCCTCATGGATTCTGACTCAGCTGCTTACTATCTCTCAGCCATCTTTCAGGGATTTGCTTCCCTGAGTCTGATTGTCCTTATTGTAAGGCAGGAATAAGGAAAGTTCTTAGAGAAATCAGTATAGGTTTAATTGAGATGCTATCAGGAAAACACCTGGCATAGAGCTCAGGACAGAGGCACTAAATATTGATCTAAATAAGTGTTTAAAAATGTTTATTTTCATTTTTTGCCTACCCAAATCCTCTTGGTTTTTCATCCAGGCATTTAGGAAAAATATCCTGCCTTGATCAAAGTGGACAGGATTGAACAAGTGGGACTAACACTAAAGAGCTTCATTTTCTTTAGAGGACTCCCTTAAATATAATTGTGTAAAATATTCACCGGCACTGGAAAAACAAGACCAGGCATTGACCTTGTCATTTAGGCATAGGAGTGAACTGTTGTAGCATAAAGTTTCCCCCATAGTGGTTCTCAGCAGGCTTATGTGATGAGAGAATGATCAGGAATAGCTCACATAACCCAGAGGGATTTTTTTTTCTCACCATTCTCCTTACTTATCTATATCCTCAAGTATACACATTCATTAAGACCAACATCAGGCTCAGTGAGCTAACATATTTCATGTAAGGCAGTGAGTCATGAACAGAGCTTTCCTCTTACTGAGGAAATCTGCTGAAAAGATCATTGATCACCTCATCTACAAAATGGGAATAACTAAGCACTTAGCAGATGCTTGCCCCAATGGCTGTTACCAGGGTTACTGGACATTTTGCCAATATATTAAAAACTGGTTACAAATAAACTCTTCAGACTTAAAAAGGCTGCATTTTGATTTGAGTCTTCCAGGTGACTTCCACATTCCTACAGGTGGCTAACATTTGATAAATATACTTTATTACAGATAAGAAGAAATTGCTATACTAAATTCGAAACCAAAAGTGCACCTGCAGCTCTATTTTGCCAATTAATATCTATGTTAAGCTTCCTTGATTTAAAAAGCAATTAACTTTAAAAGAAAAGATAACTGATTCATAAATTCACATTCCAAGGCTGCCTACCTTTAAAGTTATTGGTGAATTTCATTTTTTGCAAAGACATAGGATACAAAAATAAGCCCTGTGACAAGTCTGTAGTTTTCAAAGATGTTGAGCACTCAATCAATTTGCTATATATTTTTTTCACAAAATGTGCAATTTAGGTAACATATGCTGATTATGAATCAGCAGCAATCGTATACATACTGTGGAAGAACATTCCTCTTTATACAGTGTATCAAATTTCTTCATCACTATATTCAGCTAGTTTCTGTGTTTAAATATTTACAAAAAAAAATCTTCGGAGGGGAATTTAAACTAACAACCTTTAGTTCCATCATCAACTGATGGCTTAATCACGAATAGCATAGTCATTTAAATTAGCCTCCTGTGGATGATTAGACAATGTAGCCGATGGACCAGTGCGAGGTACCTCTGTAAAATGGGCAGTAAAAGCCATGGAATGGCTCACTCCCAATTAATAAACGAACCAACAAACCAATGACAACTCTTTAGTACCTTGGATGACTGATTCCTGCTTACTGTCTGAGGTTCGTTTCCCTTTGGAACAGCTAGTTCTACTTCTCATTGTGGATAGTGATTGGACAAGGAGGGACAACTAGATTAGTGCACTTTCCCTATGTCCCCCATGTTTTTGCTTATGGAAAAAAATTCATTTCAGGGAGCCAGTATGTTCTTGAACTGTCTTTTTCAAACTAAATTCTGTCACCTGTTAGCAAGTTGGGAAATCCTTTTAATGGGTCACGCCAAGCATGTAACCTATATTTATTTATGTGGGTTGCGTTCAAAAATGTTTGAAAGCCACTGGTTATTTACATATTGGATTAAAAATTAGCATTAAGGAGATGCTTTTTGACCAGGAAAATTTCCCCCGTGACAGACTATTAAGAGAGAATTCAGAAACAATAGGTCATCTGCTATCTCCTACTATCTTTTTTTTTTTTTTTTTTTTTTTTTTTTTGACAGAGTCTCTCTCTGTCTCCAGGCTGGAGTGCAGTGGCGCAATCTCGGCTCATTGCAACCTCCGCCTCCCAGGTTCAAGCGATTCTCCCGCCTCAGCCTCCCAAGTAGCTGGGACTACAGGCGCATGCCACCATACCCAGCTAATTTCTGTATTTTTAGTAGAGACAGGGTTTCACCGTGTTGACCAGGATGGTCTCGATCTCTTGACCTCGTGATCCACCCATCTCAGTCTCCCAAAGTGCTGGAATTACAGGCATGAGCCACTGCGCCTGGCCTCTCCTACTATCTTAAAAAATACAGACCTGCAATAGCACCTGAAATTATTAGTTGCCTGTTAAGGCAGTCTGATTCTGTCCATACAATCAGCCCTCCCACTGGTACCTAGCATTCAGCATGTTTCTAACTATGAAATAGATGCTATAATTTTCTATATGCAAAAATTCCAAAAGGTAAATAAAGAGAGGAGCCAGGATTCATAGATGAAAACTTACACAATTATGGGTGCCCTTTTTAAGGAAAAGAATATCAAGGTATAATTACAAAATTAAATATGAAAATAAATACTTACATGGAATAAATGAAAAAATCACAACAATTTCCTGGAGACTTGGAGATTTAGATTTCTTTCTTCTGAGATCTCTTTAGGCAATTTACGAGAAATACTTAAACAGAAGTTCTTCGTGACTATAAACAGGCTTTCTCTCCCCTTCTGAAACCTGCAGCAACTCCCAACAACCAAGGGGACCCTGAAGCTTACAGCTTCATGTACCTAATATTAAATACTTCTCTGGCATAAAAAATTTGAAAAATGAACATAGGAGAGCACACCAATGATGCAAAGATGGGGCTGTATTAAGTTTAGTGCTTAGAGTAAGGCATTGAATGTTCATATACCAGGATGGGTCCAGCTCTGCCACTTATTAACCTGAGACTTTGAGCAAGTTACTTAACCTCTCCTCTCCACACCTTCATTTTCTCCTTTGCAAAATGGAGTTATTGATTTTACCTGTCTTAAAGGACAATAAATGAGACTATGCATGTGAAACCTCTAGGACAATGCTAGGCATATAGTGTGTGCTCAATAAATGCTTGTTATTGTTTTATAAAAATCTGCAGTCAGCATCAGACACAGATAATTTGGATTCTAGGCCCCACTCTTAATTTTGCTTTTATTTTTCTGTGCAATGTGATAATGTCCATTCCTGGGGTGGGGGGAAGTGATAAAATGAATGAAACACAGAGAGCTCTTTGGAAGAAAGGTGATCTATCTATCCATATCTGTATATCTACCTATCCATCTATCATCTATCTATCTATCTATCTATCTATCTATCTATCTATCTATCTATCTGTAATATAGTGGATGAGTACAGGTAAATTTAGAGCACATTAATAAGATGAGCAACTCTTACACTGTGAATAAATGACCAGTTACATAATTTCTATACATATAAAAACTCAACTCATTGGGGGAGAAATAGATTGGCAAAGGAGAGAAGGGAACTATAAATAGTAAATAGTCTATAGTAAGTAGTCCTTGCAATAAAAAAGGTATTTTTTAAATCTAGTTTTTCTGAAATGACAGACATAGAATTCGGAATCTGGATGGCAAAGAAGCACATTGAGATTCAAGAGAAAGATGAAACCAAATCAAATGAATTCAAGGAATCTAGAAAAACGATCCACGAACTAAAAGATGAAATATCCATTATAAGAAAGAATCACACTGAAATTCTGGAACTGAAAAATTTAGTACAATAATTTTATAATACAGTTGGAAGTATTAACGGGAGAATAGACCAAGCTGAGGAAAGAATCTCATAGTTTCAAGACCAGTTCTCCAAATTAATTCTGTAAGATAAAGATAAACAAGAATTTTAAAAATGATCAAAACCTCTGAGACATATGAAATTATGTAAAGAGACTAAATTTACAACTCATTGACATTCTTGAGAGAAGGAGAGAGAATAAGCAACTTGGAAAATATATTTGATGATACAGTCCATAAAAATGTCCCTAATCTTGCTAGAGGTTGATATGCATATACAGAGAACCCTGGTTAGATACTACATAAGATGACCATCACAAGGGTACAAAGAAAAAAAAATCTTAAAGACAGCTAGAGAGAAGGGTCAAGTCATATACAGAGGGAACCCCATTAGGCTAGCAGAAGATCTCTCAGGAGAAATCTCACAAGCCAGAAAAGATCAAGGGCCTATTTTCAGTGTTCTTAAAGAAAAGAAATTCCAACCAAGAATTTCATATCCTGCCAAATGAAGCTTCATAAGTGAAGGAGAAATAAAATTTTTCTCACACAAGCAAGTGCTAAGGGAATTTATATTAACAAGCATTCAAGGGGTAATTAATAGAGCGCTAAACATGGATTCGAAAGACCACCACCAGCTACCACAAAAACACACTTAAGCACATAACCCACAAACACTATAAAGCAACTACACAATCAAGTGTACATAACTACAAGCTAACAACACGATGACAGGCTCAAAATCTCACATATCAATATTAAGCCTGATGGAAAATGAGCTAAATGTTCCACTTAGAAGACACAGAGTGGAAAGCTGCAGAAAAAGACAAGACCCAACCTTCTGTTGTCTTCAGGAAACCCATCTCACCTGTAGTGATACCCAAAGGCTCAAAGTAAAGAGATGGAGAAAAATATACCATGCAAATGGAAATCAAAAAGAGTGGAAGTTACTATTCTTATATAGGATAAAATTGATTTTAAATCAATAAAAATTAAGAAAGACAATGAAGGGTATTACATAATAATAAGGGTACAATCTAAAAAGAAGACCTAATTATCCTAAATATATATGTACACAACATTGCAGCATTCAGATTCATAAAACAAGTTTTCCTTGGCCTATGAAAAGATGTAGGCAACCACATAATAATAATGGGAGACTTTAACACCCCACTGATAGTGTCAGACAGATCATGGAGGCAGAAAACTAACAAATAAATTCTGGATTTAAATTCAACACTTGACCAACAAACAGAATATACATTCTTCTCATCTGCACATGGAACATATTATAAGGTTGACCACTTGCTTGGTCATAAAGCAAGTCTCAATAAATTCAAAAATATTGAAATCATACAAAGCTTATGCTTGGACCACAATGCAATAAAAATGGAAATCAATATCAAGATTTCTCAAAACAACATAAATACATGGAAATGGAACAACTTGTTCCCAAATAACTCTTTGAAATTAATGAAAATAGTGACACGAATAACCAAAATCTCTGGTATGCTGCTAAAGCAGTGTTAAAAGGAAAGTTAATAACCCTAAAAGCCTTCATCAAGAAGTTGAAAAGATCTCAAATAAACAATCTAACACACCTAAAGGACCTAGAAACAAAACAAAACCAAACAACCAACCCCAAAGCTAGCAAAATGAATGAAATAACTAAAATTAGTGAATAACTTAATGAAATTAAGATGCAAAAGTTCATAAAAAAGATCAATGAAACTTTCAAAGCATTTGTCCTTCAAGAAAAAACAAAGATTGATAGATTGCTAGCTAGAGCAACAAAGGAAAAAAAACCCAGAAGATCCAAATTAGTACCAAAGAGGACATGACAACTGATCCCACAGAAATATAAAAGATCATTAGAGATACGATGAAAAAATCTATGCACATAGAAATAACTAGGAAAACAGCTAACCAAGGAGGTGAAAGATCTCTACAAGGAGAACTACAAAACACTACTGAAAGAAATCAGAAATGACACAAATAAATGGAAAAACATTTCACGCTCATGAACTGAAAGAAAGAATCAACATCGTTAAAATGGTCATACTTCTCAAAGCCATTTACAGATTCCACACTACTCCTGTCAAACCACCAACATTGTTCCTTACAGAATTAGAAAAAAAAATTCTAAAACTTATATGGAATGAAAAAAGAACCTGAATAGCCAAAGCAATCCTAAGCAAAAGGAACAAAGCCAGAGGCATTACACTACCAAATTTCAAACTATATTATAAGGCTCTAGTAACCAAACAGCAAGGTACTGGTATGAAAACAGACACATACACCAATGGAATAGAATAGAGAACTGAGAAATAAAGCTGCATACCTATGAACATATGATCATTGACAAGGCCAGCAAAAACAAGCAATGAGGAAAGAACTTCCTATTCAATAAATGGTGCTGAAATAACTGTCTAGTTACATGCAGAAGAAATGAAACTAAACCCTTACCTTTCACTATATACAAAAATTAACTCAAGTTGGATTAAAAATTTAAATATAGGACCTCAAAGTATAAAAATCCTAGAAGAAAACGTAAGAAGTATCCTTATCAATGTTGGCTTTGACAAAGAATTTTTTGCTAAGTCCCCAAAAGCAATTGCAACAAAGACAAAAATTGACAAGTGGGACGTATTTAAACTAATGTGTTTCTGCACAGCAAAAGAAACTATCAACAAAGTAAACAGACAACCTATAGAATGGGAGAAAATATTTGCAAACTATGCATCCACCGAAATCTAATACACAGAATCTCTATGGAACTTAAATAAATCAATGAGAAAAAAACAAATAATTCTATTAAAAACGATCAAATAACATCAGGAGATACTTCTCAAAAGAAGGGATACAAGCAGCCAACAAACATGAAAAAATGCTCATTATCACTAAACATCAAAGAAATGTAAATCAAAACCACAATGAGATACAATCTCACACAAGTCGGAATGACTATTTTTTAAATAGTCATAAAACAATAGATAACTGGCAAGACTACAGAGAAAAGAGAATGCTTATACACTGCTGGTGGGAATGCAAATTAGATCTGCTGCTGTGGAATGTAGTTTGGAGATTTCCCAAAGAATTTAAAACAGAGCTACCATTTAACCCAGCAATCCCATTTCTGGGTATATAACTCAAAAGAAAATAGATTGTTATACCAAAAAAACACATTCACTTCTGTATTAATTACTGTGCTAATTACAATAGCAAAGACATGGAATCAACCTAGGTACACATCGGTGGTGGTTTGGATAAAGAAAATGTGGTACATATACACCATGGAATACTACACAGCCATAAAAATAATGAAATAATGTACTCTGCAGCAACATGGATGCAGCTGGAGGCCATAATCTTAAGCAAATGAACACAGGAACAGAAAATCAAATACTGCATGTTTTCACTTATAAGTAGAAGCTAAACAGTGAGCATATATGGACATAAACACGGAAACAACAAATGCTGTAGACTACTAGAGTGGTGGAGGGGAGACATGGGTTGAAATACTACTTCTTAGATACTATGCTCACTACTTGGGTGCAGTATACCTATGTAATAATCCTGCACACATACCCCCATATCTAAAATTTAAAAAGTTGAAATTTTAAAAAGAAAATGAAAACAAACAGAAGTTATATTTATTACATGCAAGTAAGTAAATGATAGAACTACTTGTAATTACCATATTGATTACGTGTAAATAAATTAACACTGGGTGATTTTCAAATTACTTGATCAAATGTCCTAAATGGGATAAATGCCTTCCTGCTGAAATATATTTGCAATAATGACTTTGCTTAGAAAATATTTTTTTCATAGATAGAGCAAATGTAAATCTCTACCTCAATCCATTTCAAAATCTTGAGACATTGTGAATGGCAGAATTTATATTATTTACTGCATTTAATAAAAGATAAAATGTATAAACATTTAACACATCAAATCCAACTACTGTACTGGCACTCTTAGTCAATCTGTTTGGATATATGGTTATATAGGATCTTCATGCATTTATGTATTTTCTAATGTCATTGGTACCAACATAATGATTTCTAGTGTTTTGGAACTCTGCGGAAATGAGGGTGGGCGGGGGAGAGAGAGAGAGAGGGGGAGAGAGAGAGGGAAAGAGATTGACAGATAGAGAAGAGGAAGAATTTTAGATTCTAGATAAAAGGAAAAAGTCCACTTCTATTTTCTCTAGATTTTCAATCATGTGCTTCTTTTGTTCTATTAATAAACAATAACTCCACAGTCCCTCTTTTGAGTTAAAAAACATTTAAATTAGAATGTAGAAGTATTTGTCCTTCACAATTTACTTACAGGGAAAATAGATACTCACATAAAAATTGAAAAGTACATTTTTCCTTAATACCAGCCAACACTGTAATTAATAGTTAATTATTCAAAGGATTTTGCTAAGATATTACTTTCTTAAAGTATGTAATAATTAAATTTGCTACAAGTAAATATAATCAACTATATTCAAATATATTTCATTAGAGACACTTAGAAAAAGTTGAAGCAAGTGGAACCTACATAATTACAGAAGAGTACTGACGTACTCTTCTTGGACCCAGAAAGTCCCAGAGACATCATCTGCATTGACAAAGGCCAAAACTCAATTGAAGGAGATTCTAGAAGACTCTCCTGCCAGGATTCTGCTCCTCTAACTGAACCTGATTCAAAAATTTCTACTTAATGAGAGAGCAAACTACATTTTAAATGCAATTTCTGCAGTTGTAAATGATGATTGAAATGATTATTCTTATCAGAGAGTTTCTGAGCTAAGAAATGTCTCTTGTGCTACAGATGAGAGATAGAGACCCAGGAAACTATGGACTCACTCTCACTTTATGGCAAAACTGAGTTCATAAACATGTCTACTGACTTTGAACTGAGGGCATTTTTCATCATTTTACCTGGCTTTCCACCTACTAGCCTCAGGTTTACTCCTATAAAAAAGATTTCCATCAAAATTTCCCTTTGCTGGTAAAGTCTTAATGATACAAAATCGACTTACAAAATCAGTAGCATTTCTATACACCTATAACCTCCAAACTGAGAATCAAATCAAGAATACAATTCCATTTAGAATAGCCACACACAAAAATATGCCTAGGAATACGTCTGAGGTAAAAGATCTCTACAAGGAGAACCATACAATACTGCTGAAAGAAATCAGAGATGACACAAACAAATAGAAAAGCATTCCATGCTTTTGGGTTGGAAGAATCAATATTGCTAAAATGGTCATACTGCTCAAAGCAATCTACAGATTTGATGATATTCCTATCAAATTACCAACATTATTTTTCACAGAATTAGAAAAAAATATTCTAAAATTCGTATGAAATAAAAAAGAACCTGAATAGTCAAGGCAATCGTACAAAAAAGAACAAAGTTGGAGGTATCACATCCAACTTTAAACCATACCATAAGGTTACAGTAATCAAAACAGCATCGTACTGGTATAAAAATAGACACACAGACCAATGGAACAGAATAGAGACCCCTGAAATAAAGCTGCACACCCACAACCAACTTATTTTTGACCAAGTAAACAAAAAGCAATAGGGAAAGGATACCCTATTCAGTAAATGGTGGTGGGAAAACTGACTAACCATATGCAGAAGAATGAAACTGGACACCTAACTCTCACCTTATACAAAAATTAACTCAAGATGGTTTAAAGAATTAAATGTAAGACCTCAAACTATAAAAATTATAGTTTATAATTTTAAACAGAAAACCTACAGAATGAGAGAAAATATTCACAAAATATTCATTGTGTGTCTGACAAAGGACTAATATCCATAACTTATAAGAAACTTAAATCAATAAGCAAAAAACAAACAACCCATTAAAAAGTGGGTAAAGGACACGAACAGGAACTTCTCAAAAGAAGACATATACATGGCCGAGAAACATATGAAAAAATGCTCAACATCACTAATCAACACAGAGATGCAAATCAAAACCACAGTGAGACACCATCTCACACCAGTCAGAATGGCTATTATTAAAAAGTCAAAAAATTACAGATGTTGGTGAGGTTGGGAAGAAAAGAGAACGCTTATATACTGTTGGTGGAAATACAAATTAGTTCAGCCCCCGTGGAATGCAGTTTGGAGATTTCTCTAAGAAATAATAGTAGAATTACAGTTTGACCCAGCAATCCTATTACTTGGTATATACCCAAAAGAAAATAAATTGCTCTACCATAAAGACACATGCACTTGTATGTTCATTACAGCACTATTCATAGTAGCAAGTCATGGAATCAACCTAGCTGCCCATCAGCGGTGGATTGGGTAAAGAGAATGTGGTACATAGTCACCATAGAATACTATAAGGCCATTTAAAAAAATGAAATCATGTCCTTTGCAGCAACATGGACACAGCTGTAGGCCATCATGCTAAGTGAATTAAGGCAGAAACAAAAAACGAAATACCTCAAATTCTCACTTACAAGTGGGTTCTAAACACTGGGTACACATGGACACAAAGATAGGAACAATAAACACTAGGAATTCCAAAGGTGCAGGCTAGGAAGAAGGTAAAGGGCTGAAAACTATCTATTGAGTATTATTTTCACTACTTGGGTGATGGAACCATTAGAGCCTAAACCTCAGCATCAAGCAGTATATCAAT
Source organism: Homo sapiens (assembly GCF_000001405.40). Classification (NCBI taxonomy): domain Eukaryota; kingdom Metazoa; phylum Chordata; class Mammalia; order Primates; family Hominidae; genus Homo; species Homo sapiens. The sequence continues at coordinate 37,547,874 of NC_000015.10, forward strand.
GTAGCAAACTTCCACATGTACTCCAGAATCTAAAACTAAAACAAAACAAAACAAAAACAAAAATAAAAACAAAACCTCTATAATTTATTATTTTAAACCTTTCTTCTGAAAAAAGAAAAGAAATTTCTCTTTGCTGGTCAATTAACTAACTGGAGGCAGTACTTATACTCATGGCTTTGACTGAGGATAAAAGAGATTTGAAGAGAAGGTACAATATATGTGTGCATGTCATTTTGGTAAAATACATGATCTCTGGGTATGAAACAGTTCAATCAGAAAATCTCCTATTGCTGTTTCTGGGCAGGGGAGACTAACTTGGAGCCACACAGAAAAGAAACAGCATCTTTAAAGTGGCACTGAAACTGGAATTTACCTTCTCTGCAGCCAACATTCACAGAAATATATGGCAAGCTATCAACATCCATAATGTAAATTCCTTGAGAATAGGCCATGTGCCTCATGTAGCCATATGCCTTTATCCTCACACAATTGCTAGCAAAGATTGGGATTTTCATAGGTACCCACTGATTTGTGTGAATTTGGGGCATGAAGAACAGGTGGAAAATGTGGCATTCATGTATGTATTACCGAAAGAAGTCCATCATTTCCATCATTTAACTGTAGCTAGCCACCTATCTGTGGAGACAGAAAATCATCACTATGCAGATCTCTTTTAGTTTTAGGAATAATTATATAGTAATGTAATCACATAAATATAAAACAGCAGATAACTATTACCCTAGGAGGAAGAGTAAGGAATCTTTTGTGACTTGACAAAGCTGCTGTATGCAGCAGTCACTTGAGAAGGAAAGAGTAGATGCATATTGCATAGGACCCAAAGAAACTTCTGGGAAGGTACTTTATCTGGCCTATTCTCTTTCATGGTTTAAATTCTAGGATGGGTTAAAATATTCCTAAATATTTTCAAATAGCAGAAAAGGTCACAAAGAAGATAATTTGAGAGACAGGAAATTAATAATCATCGTGGAAGCATTTAGGAATTTTGCCCCAAAAATTAAGAATGGAGGCAGAAACACATCTTAAAAGAAATTTAGGAAACCAATAATGTGCTGTATTTATGGGTATTAATTTACTTTTATTATCATCATTACTACTATTATTTCTATTACTATTATTTTAGCAAGCCTAAAAGATGACCCAAACCAGATGTGGCTGAGGGGAACTGTAACCAGTGTTAAAGGCTTATTGTGCCTCAAAGAAAATTTGAGAAAATTTGCTTTAACCAGATTAAAATGAGCCAATTTAAGGGGCCCATGTATTATAATAAATGGAATATGTGCCCATTTTTAAAAACTTTTATTTTAGTTTCAGGGGTACATTCACAGGTTTGTCATATAGGTATTAGTAAACTCATGTCATGGGGGGTTGTTATACAGATTATGTCATCACCTAGCTACTAAGCCTAGTACCCAAGTGTTATTATTTCTAACCTCTCCCTCCTCCCGTCCACCACCCTCAAGTAGGCTGCCTTAGAGTTTGTCGTTCCGTCTTTGATGGAATACAAATTAAATTGACAGTAAACTTCAATATTCTTAAGATTTGGTAAAATTCAGGAAAAATTTAATGGGCATTTTTATTTTCAAATTAATAAGCTATCCAGAACAGTAATGATTAGAAAAGATTTATTTACAAGCAATTTTCAGTTATTGCTTAAATGGAAATAATATTTATATAAAGAAATGTAATATTCATCAATTTGTCATTCACACCTCTTCTGTATAACTAACTGAATCACCTTTAGATCTCTGTTTTTACCTTCCCAACAAGAGACTTGTCTTGGATTACTTCATACCAATAACCTTATCCCTTTCTTTTCCATCATCCTTTACACCTTTTGAATTATTTACCAAGTGAGTTGCCATTTAAATTAAGAGAAGTCTCAGCCTCCTTTCCCAAACCATAATAATAAAACCTGCTTTCAGTTTAGCAATAGAGGAAAATATTGTTATAGGATCTCTGGGGTGTCAATTTTTCTAGCCAGAAACCTCTGTGGCTGGGGCGCCTTTGTCTGAGTTCTTGTCCTGCGTCCAGGAAGAATGAGGTATGCAGACAAGAGAACGGTGAAGAAGATGAGAGTTGTATTTAGTGTTAGAACAGCTCAGAGGGGACATAGAATGGGTGCTCCTCTCTGTACGCAGGTCTTCCCATTGAGTGTTCAGCTCTCAACAGAGTGGAGGCCCTGGAGAGGGTGGCTACCCTCTGCAGGCAGGTCATTCAGATGTCTCTGCAGGTCTCTGAAGCTTTCAGCAGAGACAGTAGCTCCTCTCCACCAGTTTCTGAAGCTCTCAGTAGAGAGGATAGCTTCTCTCTGCCAGCAGGTCGTCTCTGTAGCTCTCTGTGGAGAGGGCACTCCTCTCTGCAACTAGTCATCTCATCCCCTCATCTCTGCCTTCTCTGGCTGTCCTCTGCCCTGCTCTGGCTGAGCCCAGGGCTTTTATGGACCTCAGAGAGGAGGAAGTGTGTGCCTGCTGTTTATGGGTGGCCATGGGCTGACCAGAAAAGGCACCACGAGTCCCCACTCCAGTCCACGGAACTGGCCCCCAGCCTTCAGGCCCTCCTCTGCCTGAAGATGGGGCCTAGCTGGGCACCTGCTTCCTTCCGCCCAGGACTGTGTCTGCCTCCCACTGCCATTCAAGGCCCCAGGACTCAGCCCCAACCCCACTCGGATCGGAGCAGAAACTAGGAGCTGAGAGAGGCCAGGCCATGGGAGCAGACACTCCTGAGCCTGCAGAGATGGGGACGGGGATTGGGGGAGTCTTTCCCGGGGCCCCTGAGGATGCAGGCTGCAGAGACGCTGGGTCCTGCGCTGCAGCTGCACCAGGAAGGCAGATCTTGCCTGCTCCCCATCCTCCTTCAAGACCACAGGGAAGCTTGGATCCGCAGCTGCGGTCTGGGAGGCTGCCTGCTCTATAGAGCTCCATAGAGCAGGAGGCCTGCGTCTGCAGCCGCGGTTTGAGCAACTACAGCTGCACCTGAGGACGTCCCGCTCCAACTCAGAAAAGGCGGGGCTCCCACCAGCCCCATGGAGTGCTCAACCCAAGCTGTGCCTCCCTGTTGCAGCCAGGGTGATGGCAGCAGCCACTGCCATCAATACTGGCATTAGTCTGACTTTTTTTGTCCTTGTCTTAGAATATGAAATATTTGACAGCCCTGCTATTGAAGGGTTTCAGTTAAATAAGAAAGCTTAATATAAGAATATTTACATGTTATTTAGATTTTAATTAATATAGAGAACAAATATGATAAGAAAAACTTTCAGAAGTATAAGACCTGGAATTTTATTTTAAGGAGATTTTGTTCTTTTTAAAAATTTCAATTTGTTAGGTTATATTCTTTGACAGTTTGCATAGAATTATACACATAATTATAAGGCCATATAAAAATTGAAACATTATAAAATGATAAAATTATTCACAATTAAATGAATTATGAATAGTTGTGGCTGCTTATAAAAAGAAAAATAATAGAGAAATGCTATTCTAAACAGAAATAGAGGCAGAAATTTTATTCTGTATCATTTTGTTTTAAAAATAAATGAAAGACATTCTTTGTAGGAACAATAAACTAGAAATCACCCACCTGGATGAATAAAATCAGCAAATAATCAAGTTACATAGCAACTGAAATTAATATGTGGTTAATAGCATTTATCTGCTTTCTTTGCTTGGAAACTGTCAGTCTTTCATGCTTAATAAATATCAATGATTTACTGAAAGAAAACTTACAAGTACTTGAAGTCTCATTTCATTATATTTACTAATCTGTGTGAACTTGGATTCCCTTATTAGCGGAATTTGTGATAATGCGGTAGCAGGATCAAACCTGGATCTGCCTACTCCAATCTAATTTGAACTCGTAATCTCCCCTTACATCTGTGGGGTGTCTAGATGATCATATAGACACTCATTTTAATAAAGCAGTTCAATTAAAATATTTATTAGCAAGGACCCCATGGGAGAAGCCACAATGTGGAAAGACTTGGCTGAGAGGGGTAAAGAAATTAAGTCAAATTCATTAGCCCTAAAAAAACTAACACAATATTCCACAAAACCATCAGGAATCAGCATGAGCAGAGACTTAGTAGACAATGCCACATGTTGGGTCCATTTTCTAAATACTACATTTTTATTAGTATTTGCTACACATACACTTAGATTGTACATGTTATTGACATGTCATGTCAATATATTCTCAAGTACCTGAAATAAGAATGGCATTATTAGTATAGTATTAAACTTGGTACTAATAATTTAGATTTTTATCCTATTTGGGGGGAGAGAATCAAATGCATATGAAAGACCCAGAAAATGATATAAACGAATTATAATGTCCTATCCTATAGAAGGATGTTGTGGAAGTAGTAGAGTTTAGTAGTCTGAACTAAAATCCCAACTCCACCAATTATTATTGTTTGACCTTAGGATAGTTGGCCTATGAGCTTCAATTTTTCTTATCTGTAAAGTGACTTTAATAGTGAAATTTTCCCATAGGCTTTTTATAAGAATTAAGTGAAGTAGACCATATTAAGCATTTAGTAAAGCATCTAGCTTAAACTTTCAACAAAAGTATTTGGAGATAATGCTAGTAATGATTATAATGATATTCCTAAACAGAACCTCCTCTTGCTGCAAACCAATACAAATAATGTAGATGAAACATATTGAAGCAAATCTGACTTCTGATTCCAAGCAAGATGTAAATAATCTACTCAGAACAATTAGAAATGCTCACAGCATCACAGAAAAAGAAATTATAATTTAAGAAGTACCAGTGGCTGGGAGCGGTGGCTCACACCTGTAATCCCAACACTTTGAGAGGCCAAGGCAGGCAGATCAGGAGGTCAGGAGTTCGAAATCAGCCTGCCAACATGGTGAAACCCCATCTCTACTAAAGATACAAAAAATTAGCTGGGCGTGGTGGCACGCACCAGTAATCCCAGCTACTCGGGAGGCTGAGAAAGGGGATTTGCTTGAACCCAGGAGGCAGAGGTTGCAGTGAGCCAAGATTGAGCCATTGCACTCCAGCCTGGGTGACAGGGTGAGACTCTGTCTCAAAAAAAAAAAAAAAAAAAAAAGTATCAGTGAACTATAGAGGCAATGAGAACTAGAAAAACTAAATTTCAAGAGAGGGCTAAAGTGTCCAGAAGTGAGGTGAGATGATAGCTGATCTTTCCATGTAGCATCTGCTAATTATAGGTACAGGCTAGAGGTTGAGAACCACAGGTTGCTTTTGCTAAAAAGAGAAACATGAAAATCTGTTAGTAATCACAGAGATGGGAGTGACAAAATTGTAAAACTCAAGAGATCTTAAATAAAAGTTGACTAACCTCCACATGAGACATTTGTTGAGTTGCGAGGCTGCATTGGGGAAGCAAATAAGCTAAACTGAAATCTGTGGAAAAAGTAGACTACCCTATAGTTTCATGGGCCTTAGAGAGTAAAGACCTATCAGAAGCAGGAGATATGACTTTTTTTAAAAAAAGCGAACAAGAAACAAAATTCTTAGAAGGAATTTTAAATAGAGTTGAGAATTAACACTAAGTATCCACAGGCACCTTTTCCCTAGAAACACTTTTTAATGTTGAGCATAGCTGGAGGCTAATAACCCAGGCTTGAAGCTAGCAGAAGGCTGCTGCTGAGATACCAAGAAACCAACCAACACTTTGGTGTTGTGTTGAGCCAGACTGTTAAAATTGGAGACGTGAGGGCATCAAACACAATGTCAGTCTTTTCCTCAAGACCAAATTTTGAAGTTTTATTGAGTGTGAGGCTAAAGAGCTAAGTTTAAAACCTCTGATAGGTGGAAATAATGTCCACGGTGTTTCTGCTACAGATCTTTGATGGAGGCAAAGATCCATCAATCTCTCACTTGAAATCTGTGGTGGCAATGCCCTAGGAATCAGGAAGACCCAGGTATAGATTGAGTCTTACCAAAATTACAACCCAGCCTCAACACAACCTAATTCCTGATTATATTGATATGATAAGCCCTCCAACCCTACCCTACCTTGAACTTTATGTTCTAAACAGAGGAAGTGTTTAATTCTTTCTGATGGAAGAGAATGTCATCTGGAGGGTATATGGGTTTTCATATATACAATTTCTGACATATAGTAGCAGTGATAGAAAATGAAAGCAAACTTGTAAATGATTCATATAATCCAAATTTTAAAGTAGCAGACACGTACTTAAAAATAATTACCACTAATATGTTCAGGAAAATACATTTTAAAATTGGGGAAAAATAAGTAAAAAGATGAGAAAAAAATACCGAACTGAAATCTATATGAAATAATGAGTATTTTAGAACTAAAAATACAATATCTGAATTAAGAAAACAATCAAGGATTTAACAGTAGACTAGAAAAAAATGAAGACAGAATTAATACACAGGAAGACAAATCAATAGAAAACACTGAAATTAAAGTATAGTGAGAAGTAAGTATGTGACTTAGAAAGAAAAGAGCAAGAGGAAAATATAGAACATGCTCAAAATTTGTATTTATAGGAACGTGGAATTCTAGAAAGGCAGAATGGAGAAAAATGGGGCAGAAGCAATATTCAAAGAGATAAAGCAGAAGAATTTTTCAAAATTGATGGAAGACATAAATTTACAGAGACATAAAGCTTAACTAACCAGGAAAAATACAAAAAGACACACATCTAGGCTCATCATAATATAATTGCTAAACACTCAAGACAAATTAATAATTAAAAGGCAACCAGAGGAAAGAAGACATTACCATCAGAGGTATAGCAATGAGAATGACATCTGACTTCTTAAAAGAAGTAGTATATGCCAGAAGACAATGGAAAGAAATATTAAAGTGCTTAAAGAAAATAATTACCAACCTAAAATTCTGCATCAAACACAATTATCTTTCAATAGTACGGGTAAAATAAGAATTTTATCTGATAAAGAACATCTAATGGAATTGGTTTTTAATAGGCCTATAATAATATAAACTAAAAAGAGTTATTTAGGCTGAAGGAAAATGGCCCCAAATGTAAACATAGACATGCAGGAGGAAATGAAGAACATTGGAAAGTATACATATGCAAGTAAATAAAAACCATGTACTTACTGTATAAAACATTAATAGTAATGGCTTTTGGAGTTTAAAATATAGGGAGAACTAAAATGCATGGCAACAATAATGCAAAAGATCAGAGGATGGAAAAATGGAGACTGTATGCTCTAAGTATCTACATTACTAAGAAAGTATTAAATGTAATGGTTTGTTCTAGATTTCAAAAAGTCAAAGATATATTTTGTAATCTCTAAGACGCCCACAAAAAGAAGAATCAAAGATGTATAATTAACAAATCAATTCAAAGAAAACATGGAACAATAAAATATAATGAAAAAACTCAAAACACATACCTGAAAAGGAAATCACTAAGGGCAGAAAAAAAGAAACAAATCTAGAATGGAAAACTTGTGACTCTTTAGATAATTCTATAGCCCCAAAAGAATGTCAGGCTACTATGAACCCTGACGGCTAGGCTCTTGAGTTTTTTCTTGAGTTTTGAACATACACACAGATTGAGGAACATAATTTTTGGGCCCAGGTGAGGCTGCACACTGGAAGAGAAATTTCTGCATGGAGCTGAGACTCTATATGTGCTGGGTTCTCATGGAAAGAAAAATTAGAAATATCCTATTCTTCTGCTTAGGAAGTAATACCAAAACTTGCCTTTCCCTCAGGATTAAGATGAGGCAAGGCAAAGCATGGCATGACAGGACAAGACGAAAAAAGGTTTATTTATAAACTTTAATTCCAGGCCTACATCATGTGAAAATTGGAAATTACATTTACACAAACATAAAACCTTATCTTGGACTGCTTAAAGCTGGAATTCATCAAGGAAAAGTTATTATTGTCTAACTTAAACAACTCTGAGAGCACTGGACTCCCAGGAAATAATATTTCTCTTTTATAATTGGCAAAATTTCCAGAATTAAAAAAAAAAACACAAGGGGAAATGATCCACCAAGAAATATGATCAACAGTCCTAATAAATTAGAGAATTTGCATCCTAAGGACTTGAGATAATATTAGGCCACAAAATAAGTAAACTTAAAATGACAAAAGATATATAAGAAGAAATAGAAAGCATAGTGAAAGAAAAAAAAAAACTGTGAAAGAAAAAAAAAAAACTAAGAAAGAAGAAGTTATTTTAAGGGAACCAAATAGAACCTATATAAATGTGAGGGACAATAACTGTCAATAGAATTGAATACTCATCTACATTAGCATTTAAAGCAACATTTCTATATAAGATATTTTCAGATAAAGACAGATAATTGTTGACTCCAAGATCATTGAGGTCTTGAAGAGAGAGAGAGAGGTGTGTGTGTGTGTGTGTGTGTCCTATACACATATAGTTGGAAATTCTCACCTTTTTTTCTCTATATTGTGACCATAGAAAATATTCCAAACAATTCTTTAGTTGAACTTATACTTTAAAGATCTCTTTAAATTCTTTATTGTCTTTTGATTTTAAAAAGTGTTTTTTTTAATTACTTCCCCAAGAAGATATCTTAAGAGACTAAATCCTCTTCTCTCATCTGAACACAAGGTTATTTTTATCTTCACTTTTGGCTAAAAAATAATATTAAATTTGCCACAACTAACAAATTATATTTTCAATAAAAAAAGACATAGGTAGATAGAAATATAGATATATATCCATGTATACATATATGACACACATATGCTCGATATAATTTTAATCTTAAAAAGAGCTATTTTTCTACACATGTATACATTTTGTTTAGTAACTCAAAGATTTTAATGGAAGGCCAGTCTTCTGTTGTACAGAATGTAAGCCTTATATTTCTAAAAGAAATATTTTTTAACTCCTATCAGAATTTAATAAACCTATGTTCTGGTTAATGTCATCCTCAATCTTTCATTTTACTGAGGCTGTTAAGTGTATTACAGGAAATAATTACGACAACATATGCATGCATATTCATTTAGTTCACTTATGCTGGTTCTGGGCCACCTAAAATGTAATTTAAAATTCACAAGTATTACAAATTGGTAATTTGGCACATAGATTGTACTATCTCCACTTCTAAATTTACCAGGGTGGTTGGAAAATTATGTAATCAACTAATTTATATTTTCTACTTTATTTTTGCTTCTCCTCCAATTGGATGTGCTAATGAGCAAGGTCATGAATAAAAGGTTAGCAGTATAAAAAATAGTAACAGCAAGAGATATGAATAATCCTCAAACTGAATAGTTGGCATTAATTAAAAACTGATGCTTTTTAGAACAGGCTTTAAGGCATGCTGAAATGGAGCATTTCCTAAGTTGTAAAATGTTTTGAGAAAGATACATCCTACAAATTGGCCCTTGCATGTCAAATTTTCTAGTATTACATGTTGAAGAAAACATCATGACTTTTCAAATCTCCAACACCCATATGACTCACCAATATGAAAGAGTTTGTATGGAAGCACTGGCTTCAATTTCACTGAATTCCAATGTGAAATCAACCACCTTCAAAAAAGTTAAGTCAGGCTTTTAAAAAGTTCACCTAAATTTTATCTATACATAGTTATTTCAAATATTCTAAGAAATCACTGAAGTTGAGGATGGCAAAATATTCCTTCAATTTCTTCGGAAAAAGTAAAGCCTAATCACATCTTGACTTCCTTGACTAGGAAAATATTGGAACTGAATACTAAAATAAGACGTTGTATTCAAAAATTATCAGAGATGTACACGTCTTTTAAAAATTTAGGAGATGGGAGCCAAGATGGCTGACTGGATGAGCCAGGAGCAACATGTGCCACTGAGAGACCAAAACATTGGGAAGACTAGCACACTCCGAGCAGATCTTCAGAATAAAGGCATTGAGAGTGGATGGAGAGAGGACACAGTTGCTGGGTTGAACCAGGAGGAAGCTGAGAACTGTGTACAGGGCTGCTGAGCACCAGGACTGATGCCTGGCCCATGACTCCTGAGGAAGGAGTAAGCTGAACAGGTGAAGAGTGGCCTGCTCTTCCAATAGACCTCCAGAATCCTCCATGACCCCCGCAGACAACTGAACTGGCAGGTAGAGCTGCTTAGAGAAGTGGAAGGGGCAGGACTCCAGCCTGTGCAAAGCCCAGAGGATTTGGCATGGGAACAGCTGCAGTAGATCATGGCCAGGGATGCCTGTCTCCCAGAGTTTGCTATGCTCCCCTAGGAGGTTTTAGTCTTTGGGTGAAAAACATGTCTTAACAGAACAGAGCGGTCTTGCCCATGGGACAGGGTCAGTCCAATGTCAGTGTCCCCTGTCTGCTAGCTTCTCCTTGGGCCAGAGCCTGATGCACCTGCTTACAGCACAGCCTTAGATGCCCAACCAGAGTGCCTCTTGGGGCCCTTATCATAGTTCCTTCACAGGCAGAACATGCTTCAGCAGACCAGCCCCTGTCAACATGCACCAGCCCATCTGCAGCCTGCCCCCACTGCAGTCTCCTCTCTCTGCTTTGCCAGCATTCACTCACTCCCCTCCCCCACTGCTTTGCCAGTGGTTGCACATAGGTAGACCCTCCCTCCCCTCCCCCATCAGACATGGGTGCATGCATATTCCCCTGACCCACCACTGCCAGTGCCCTCCCTAGGCTGACGTGTGTGCACATTGCTATGCTATCATGGCTGCTGGCACATGCAGGTGAGCATGCATCCTTCTGCCAATGCCCCAGTGAAGCACTTTGGCTGGCAGCCCCATTACAGTGCTGTGGCCAACAGACTGGGAACACCTCAGCCCCTTCAGTGCAACAGGTTCCTAACCTCAAGGGACCAGAGAACAAAGCCAAGGGCCCAGTACCAGCCCCCCAAAATTAAAGAATGCAGATCAGGAGTGCTGAGCTGATCTTTAGCCTCCTAAAATCTTCCAGAAATGAAGCCAGTCAACTGAAACCACTGTATACCACAAGGAAATCCTCAAGGGCATCAAAGAAGATAAGAGCAAAAAACTCCCTCCAGAAGAAGAGCAACTTCAATGATTAAAGGAACATCAGCCCACATAGATAAGAAAGAACCAGTGCAAGAATTCTGGAAGCTCAAAAGGCCCGAGTGTCTTCTCATCTCTGAATGACTAGTTCCTCAGCAATGGTTTTTAAACAGGCTGAAATAGCTGAAATGACAGACATAGCAATGACAGATATAGAATTCATAATATGGATAGAAGTGAAGATGATTAAGATTCAGGAGAAAGTTGAAACCCAATTTAAGGAATCTAAGGAATACAATAAAGCGATACCAGAGCTGAAAGATGAATAGGCCATCTTCTGTTTAAGAAAAAACCAAACTGAGCTTAAAGAGTTTTAAAAACTCACTACAAGAATTTTATAATACAATCACAAGCATTAACAGCAGAATAGACCAAAGTGAGGAAAGAATCTCAGAGCCTGAAACCAGAAGACAAAAATAAAGAAGAAAAATTAAAAAGTGAACAAAACCACTGAAAGATAAGAGATTATGTAAAGAGAACAAATTTATGACTCATTGGAGTCCCTGAAAGAGAGGCAGAGAAAACAAGTAACTTGGAAAACATCTTTGAGGACAACATCGACGAAAATCCAACATTCGAATTCAGGAAATGCAGAGAACCCCAGTAAGATAACTTACAAGAAGATCATCCCTAAGATGCATAGTCATCAGATTATCCAATCTCAAAATGAAAGAAAAAATGTCAAAGGCAGCTAGAGAGAAGGTGCAGATCACCTACAAAGAGAACCCCAACAGGCTAACAGTAGACCTTTCAGCAGAAACCCTACAAGTCATAAGAGATTGGGGGCCTATATTTGGCATATATATATATTTTTTTTTGAGACAGAGTCTCACACTGTCATCCAGACAGGAGTGCAGTGGTGCGATCTTGGCTCACTGCAAGCTCCGCCTCCTAGGTTCACGCCATTCTCCTGCCTCAGCCTCCCATGAGTAGCTGGGATTACAGGCATGTACCCTCACGCCTGGTTAATTTTTGTATTTTTAGTAGAGATGGGGCTTCAACATGCTGGCCAGGCTGGTCTCGAACTCCTGACCTCAGGTAATCCACCCGCCTCAGCCTCCCAAAGTATTTGGCATTCTTAAAGGAAATAAATTCCAACCAAGAATTTCACATGCAGCTAAACAAAGTTTCATAAGCAAATGAGAAATAAGATTATTTTCAGACAAGTAAATGTAAAGGGATTTCATTACCACCAGACCTGCTTTACAAGAAGTCCTTAAGGGAGTGCTAAATATGGAAATAAAAGACTGCTGCTGGCTATCTAAATAATACACTTGAGCACATAGCCCACAGCCACTAGAAAGCAACTACACAGTCAAGCCTACATAACAACCATCTAACAAAATGGCAGGATCAAATCTGCACATACCAATATTAACCTTGAATGTAAACAGGGTAAGTGCTCCAACTTGTCACTCTGTGACAAGTTGGATAAAGAAGCAAGATCTAACTATATACTGTCTTCAAGATACCCATCTCACATGCAATGACACCCATAGACTCAAAGTAAATTGATGGAGAAAAATCTGCCAAGCAAATGGAAAACAGAAAAAAGCAGGGGTTGCTATTCTAATTTCAGAGAAAACAGACTGTAAACCAACAGCAATAAAAAAAGACTAAGAAAGGTTCAATTCAACAAGAATACCTAACTATCCTAAACATATATGCATCAACAAAGAAGCACACCGATTCATAAAACAAGTTCTTAATGACCTATGAAGAGACTGAGATTACCACACAGTAATAGAGACTTCAACACCCCATTGGACAGTATTAGATCATCAAAGCAAAAAGCTAATAAAGATATTTGGGACCTGAACTCAGCACTTGACTAAATGAACTTAACAGGCTTCTACAGAACTCTCCACACCAAAACAACAAAATATACATTCTTCTCATTGCCACATGGCTCATACTCTAAAATCAACCACACAATTAGCCATAAAACAATTCTTAGCAAATTAAAAAAAGTCATACCAATCACACTCTTGGACCACAACACAATAAAAATAGACATTGATACAATGAAGATTGCTCAAAACTATACAATTACATGAAAATTAAACAACCTCCTCCTGAATGACTTTTGGGTAAACAGTGAAATTAAGGCAGAAATGAAGAAATTCTTTGAAACTAATGATAACAAGTATATAACATGCCAGAATCTCTGGGACACAGCTAAATCAATGTGAACAGGAACATTTGCAGCACTGAATGCCCATACAAAAAGTTAGAAAGATCTCAAATTAACAACCACCTAACATTACAACTAGAGGAGCTACAAAAACAAGGGGAAAGCAACCCCAAAGCTAGCAGGAGACAAGAAATATCCATAATAAGAGCTGAACTGAATGAAAGTGGGACCAAAAAAACATTCAAAAGATTAATGAATCCAGGAGTTTGTTTTTTGAAAGAAAAAATAAGATTGATAGACTGCCAGCTGGACTAATAAAAAAGAAGATGCAAATAACAATCAGAAATGACAAAGGGGGCATTTTACCAACACAGAAATAAAACCCTACAGAAATACAAAAACCTTCAGAGACTATTATGAACACCTCTGTGTACACAAAGTAGAAAACCTACAAGAAATGGATAAATTCCTGGAAACATACAAGCTTCCAAGACTGAACCAGGAAGAAATTGAATCCCTGTACAGACCAATAACTAGTTCCGAAATTGAATCAGTAAAAAAAAGCCTATCAACCAGAAAAAGCTCAGTACCAGAAGATTTACAGCGAAATTTTAGCAGATGTATAAAAAAGAGTTGGAACCATTCCTACTGAAGCTATTACAAAAAATTTAGGAGGAGGAACTCCTTACTAACTCATTCTATGAAGCAAACATCATTCTGATACCAAAACCTGGCAGAGACACAAAGAAAAGTAAACTTCAGGCCAATAACTTTGATGAACATAGACGCAAAAATTCTCAACAAAATACTAGCAAATCGTATCCGGTAGCACATCCAAAAGTTAATCTACTACGATCAAATAGGCTTTATCCCTGGAATAGAAGGTTGGTTCAGCATACAGGAATTAATAAATACGATTCATCACATAAACAGAACTAAAAACAAAAACCACATGATCCTCTCAATAGATGCAGAAAAGACTTTTAATACAACTCAACATAACCTTCACATTAAAAACCCTCAACAAACAAGGCATGGAAGGACCATACCTCACAATATTAAGAGCCATCAATGACAAACCCACAGCCAGCACCTGGAAGCAAAACCTGGAAGCATTCCCCTTGAGAATCAGAACAAGACAAGAATGCCTACTCTTACCACTCATATTCAGTATAGTACTGGATGTCCTGGCCAGAGCAGTCAAGTAAGGGAAATAAATAAAAGGCATGCAGCTAGGAAGTCAAACTATCTCTGTTCACATGGACACAACAAAGGCAACAACAGACACTGGGGCTTACCTGAGGTTGGAGGGTGAGAGGATGGTGAGGATCAAAAAACTAGCCATTGGGTAATATACTTACTACCTGGGTGACAAAATAATCTATATATCAAACCATCACCACATAGAATTTTCCTATCTGAAAAACCTGCACATGTATCCTTGAAGCTAAAATGAAAGTTAAAAAAAAATTAAATGTTGATATTCCATAAATAGTTGAATACACCATCTCAATGCTTTCTATAATGCAGCTTCAAAGTGAGGAAGATGAAGTACATCAGCACAAAATATTAATTCTCATGGAAGTGTCTTTAGACACTTATGATCCCAGGGCTGAGTTCTTAGCAAAAGGTGATACGTTGATTCAATCAATTCTACAAATGAAAAGGAGAAAGGTCATTATTATGATTTAACCTTCTTGGTTCTGCTAAGTACTGTATTTACAATACCACAAATAATGAACTCTAATATTTGTTTTTTGTCCCTGGTGGTACAGCTCCACATTAAGGAATGCCATATAGCAAAGATACACATATTATCACGTTATGCCTATCTGTCAATATACCTGCATGAAATAGGGTTTCCCTAGCCAGATCTCCTTATGCAGTAAAATTTTCTTTTCTTAGGTTTCGATTTCCCTGGAACACAATTTCAACTATGCTACTTATAAAGAGTTCACATTTCTATTTTTATTTTTCCTGTGTCAGAAAATAAGAATTTTTTCATTAATATTGATGTAGGTTCCTACCTTTATTTAGGGATGATTGACCAGAGGGGAATTCAGATGAGGAATCTATTATAAAAGAAGAGCAGAAAGTATCAAGTCTAGTTAGCAGAAAAAAAAATGAGTTAAGATATATTCAGGAGAAACTGTGAAGCTCAGCAAGAAAGTATGGACAGATGGGAAAAATAATGGAAAATAAAAGAAATGGTAGAATATTAAGCAGTTTTTGACTACAAACCCTAAGTGAGCCAATAGCACAGTGGGAGCTTTACCAAATGGAGTTAAAATTTCACTAAAGATTGAACTGCCAATGGATCTTTTCCATGACACCCTAACTAAGGGGCTTCCACCTTGTGATAATGACATTTTGATGAGAAAAACTACGTGCAAATGAGAAAAATCATAATCATAGGCAGTTTCACATGGAGTCTATAAAACATCAACATGAAAGAAAGTGTGGGAAGAGCTGCGGTCGGGGGTATGCCACAGCAGAGCTTGTGGAGTAAAGGAGGTGTTGTACCATAAGTGAAGAAGTTATGACAGAAGATAAAATTGAGTTATGTGTTGAACCTATGTACTTAAAAGGTCCTGAATTTAATATATATTTTTCTCCACTGATATGGGTTAAAACAAGTGTAGATCAGTGGTTTTCAAGTGAGGGTGAGTTTGCCACCCAGAGGACATTTGGCAATGTCTGGAGATAGCGTTCGTCATCATAAGTTGGAGGAGAGATAGAGTGGAGTCTGGTGTCCCATGAATAAAGAGTCGGGATACTGCTAAATATGCTATAATGCATAGAAGATTTCTCCACAACAAAAAAATATTTATCCTAAAATATCAATAGTATCAATGGTGCTTAAGCTGAGCAACTTTGGCTTAAATAATATATGATATTGTTTCCTAATGATGTTGTCTTTTTTCTCTATTTCCCAGTATTGTTGACAGAGCATGGCTTAATAATCATGAAAATTCACTTTCCCGGTAATCTGATATAGTTAAATTGGAATCATTTACAAAATGGGCAAAAGGCATAAAAAAATTCACCAAAGGGCATATATAGATGCAAATAAGGAAATTAGAAGATGTTCAACATGAATAGCCATCAAGAAAATGCAAATTAAGGGTATGATGAGATATAACTATATACCTATTAGAGCAACAGCAATAAACAGTAGTGACAACACCAAACACTGGAGAGAGTGTAGAGATACTAGACCCCTTCC
Source organism: Homo sapiens (assembly GCF_000001405.40). Lineage (NCBI taxonomy): Eukaryota > Metazoa > Chordata > Mammalia > Primates > Hominidae > Homo > Homo sapiens. Next base: position 37,564,270 of record NC_000015.10, read on the forward strand.
ATGTTGCTGGTGGGAATGTCAATGGTACAGTCAGCCACTCTGGAAAATGATATGGCAGCTTCTAAAGAAACAAAATACAGAAAAAACAAAACCGTAAACAGGGAGACTTTGGCTTTTGGCAAGATGGAGTAGACATACTTTTTTCTATTCCTTTCATTAAGTACAAGTAAAATCCCTCGACATGATTTATAAAACAAACACAAAGGCTCTGAAAGGTAAGAGAAGGCAGAATACTAGAGACATGAGGACACATAGAATCACATGGCAGTGATTTCCATTTATCTTTTGCCTCTTGTATATCAGACCTGTTCCTGAAGCAAGTAATACCAGAAATGTCAATGAGCATTAAAACAACAACAACAACAGCTTACTTTCTCTAGCAAAAGGATAAGAAAAGGAGTAGCCTTGCAAGAATGGAAACTTTTAGAAAACAACTGCTCTGCTGAAGCTAAACAACACGGAAAAAAATCGTAGCCCCCAACCCCACACGTTAGCAAAATCTTAGTGAGGAGCGTAGACTTCCAGCCTAACCAAGTTGTATTGAGGTATCCAAATCCTCCACTGGGGGAGTGTAAGAGAAGTCTAAGTAGGGAGTCAAGGCTTCCAACCCTACTAGGTAGTAATGAGCTCCTCCCTCCCTTATCCTCTTCCCCGTGTCAACGGATTCTCAGGTGGTGGGGATCCTGAAATTTCACCCCCTCATCACCACCGCATTAATGAGAAACCCCTCCCCCTCCCTGCTGGGATGGTGTCTGGACTTTCCCCACCATCGAATGCTGGTAAAGCCACCCGCCTGACCCCCATGTTGTCAGTGAAGGGCCCTTGGGGAGCAACTAGGAGGCATTCCTACACATTTCAACCAGGGAAGCCAATGGAGGCATCATGGGGAACGAGAATTCCCACCCTCACTCAGTAGTCATGAAGAGTTTCATCGGTAGATGTCAACAAAGTCACGTGGAGAACTTGAACTTCTAACCCCACTTGGTAGTAAAAAGAGTGCTCCCCCTTTGCTTGCCAGCATAGTATCAGAAGAAGCCATCTAAAACAGAGGTTTAAATAAAATCCAGGGTCTCATAACGTAATACCCAAAATGCCAAGGTTTCAATCGAAAATCATCATACCAAGATCCAGGAAGATTTCAAACTGATTTTTTTAAAAAGACAACTAATAAATGATGACACAAAAATTAGATATGTTAGCACTATCTGACCAAAATTTTTAAGCAATTATCATAAATAGGTTTCAATGAACAACTATGAACACACTTGAAACAAATGAAAAAATATTGTCAGCAAAGAAAATACAAACAGGAACCAAACAAATGTTAGCACTAAAAAATATAATAACTGAAAAAAACCTGGACTCAACAGGAGAAAGGAGGGGACAGAGGGAAAAATTAATAAACTTGGCCAGGCGCGGTGGCTCACTCCTGTAATCCCAGCACTTTGGGAGGCCGAGGCGAGCGGATCATGAGGTCAGGAGATTGAGACCATCCTAGCTAACATGGTGAAACCCCGTCTCTAATAAAAATACAAAAAATTAGCTGGGCATGGTGGCGGGCGCCTGTAGTCCCAGCTACTCGGGAGGCTGAGGCAGGAGAATGGCATGAACCCGGGAGGCGGAGCTTGCAGTGAGCCAAAATTGTGCCACTGCACTCAAGCCTGGGTGACAGAGCAAGACTCCGTCTCAAAAACAAAAAACAAACAAACAAAACAACAACAACAAACATAAATAAACTTGAACATACAGCAACAGAAATTATCCAGTGTGAACAACAGAGAGATAAAAGAAAAAGAACAAATTCTCACAAATCTGGGGGACTGTTAACAAAAGGTCTAACATCCATGTAGTCTATGTCTCAGAAGGAGTAGAGAAAGAAGGCAAGGCTGAAAAAGTACTCAAAAAAATAATGGTTGAATACTTCCAAAATTTGGCAAAAGACATAAATCGATATATGCAAGAGATTTAATCAATGCAAAATAGGATATATCCAAAGAAATTCACGACAAGATACATGATAATCAAATCTGTGAAAACTAAAGAAAAAGGAAATGTCTTTAAGCAATGAAGAAGAAAAGACATTTTACCTATAAAGGAAAGCAATTCAAATTAGAGTGGGTTTCCCATCAGAAACTATGAAGGCCAGAAGGAAGTGGCATAACATGTTGTAAGTGCTAAAAGGAAAAAAAAAAAAAGACACACACACAAACACACACAGAACAAGAATATCCTTTAGGAATGTAGGGGAAACGAAGACATTCTCAGATAAAGGAAGACTAAGAGAATGTATTGCCAGCAGACCTACCCTAAAAGGATGGCTAAGGAAGTTTTTTAATAGAAAAGGGGACAATAAAGAAAGGAATCTTGGAAGAGCAGGAAGAAAGAATAAATAGAATAAGCAAAAGTGTGGGTAAATACACTAGATTTTTCTTCTTTTCTTGAGTCTTCTCAATTATGTTTGACAGTCGAAACAAAAGTCATGATGATATCTGATTTGGTTCTAAATGCAGGTAAATATTTAAGACTATACTATTATAAATGGGAGAAAATAAAATGATATAAAGGCAGGTAAGATTCCTATACTTCACTGAATCTGGTGAAATGACACCAATAAACTGAGATAAGTAATATTTAATGTAATACACAAAGTAATCAACTATAAGCTAAAAAAGAGATTCATTCAAAAACATTATAAATAGGTGAAAATGTAATTATAAAATATGTTCAAATAACTTATAAGAAGGCAGTTAAAATAAAACAGGGCAATGAAAAACAGAAAGAAAAAACATACAACCAAAAAATAAAATGGCAGACTTAGTACCTACCATATGAATAATTACATTAAATGGAAATGGTCTAAATGCAATTAAAAGGTAGAGATTGAGAGGTGGCTTAAAAAAAACATGACCCAACTATATGTAATCTACAGGAAACTCATTTAGAATATAACCATATAGGCAGGTTGAAATTTAAAAAAAAAATAGAAAAATATATCATACAAATATTAATCAAGAATAAACAGGAGTATAAATATGAATTTCAGGTAAAGTAGATATCAGAGGAAAGGAATATAAAAGAACATTATATAATAATAATAGGATCAAACTATTAATAAAAGACATAGCAATTCTAAAAGTATATGCACTAAACAATAGCTGAAAAATACATGAAGCAAAATCTGACAGAACTGAAAAGAAAAATAAACAAATTTTCAATTATGATTAGAGACATCAAATATTTTTAATATTTGATAGAACTATTAGGAAGAAAATTTTCAAGGATATAAGAACACTCATCACCATCAACCAAGAAAATCTAATTGGCATTTATAAAACACTCCATCCAAAGCCAACACAATACACATTCCTTTCAATGTCAGCAGAATATATGCCAAGATAGACCATATACCGGTCTATAAAATAAACCTCAAAAAATTTAAAGAAGAGAAATCATACAGAGTATGTTTTCTGATCATGATGAAATCAAAGTAGAAATTAATATCATAAAGATAACAGGAGAACACTGGAATAGTTGGAAACTAAACAACATATTTCTAAATAATCAAAGGATCAAGAAGTCTCAAGTAAATTAAAAAATATTGAATTAAATGAAATTAAACATTAAAACTTGTGGGACACAGACAAAACTGTACTGAGAGGGAAAGTTATATCACAAAGTACGTTAATTAGGAAAGAGGGAAAGTCTCAATAATCTAAACGCCCACTCAGGAGCTAGAAAAATGAGTAAAAGAAACCCAAAGTAAACAAAAGAAAAAAATAAAGAGCAGAAATCAATGAAACTAAATTTTTTAAAAAATAGAGAAAAATTAATAAAACAATGAGCTAGTTCTTTGGAAATATAAAAAAAAAATCAAACCTCTAGTAAGACTGAATAAGAAAAATGAGGGGAAATTGACATTACCAATATCATAAGCGAAACAGGAAACATCAGTACAGACTCTGCAGACATCAAATAGATATTAAGGAAATACAAATCCCTCTATACACATAAATTCCTGGAAAAACACAAACTACAATGCAACCAAAAAAAATAATTTGTATGTTAAAATTTAACCACAAGGTGACGGAGAAGTGGGGCCTTTTGGGAGGTTACTGGGTAATCAAGGTAAAGCCCCTATAAATGGAAGCAGTTCCCTTATAAAAGAGGCAAGGAGCTTGTTTCCCCCTTCCACCCTATGAGGACAAAGAAAAGGCACCATCTATCAGGAACAAGCCTTCACTGGGCACTGAAATTGCTGGCACCTTTACCTTGAACTTCACAGCTTCCAGAATTGCAAGAAATAATTATCTGTTGTTTACAAATTAGTTAGTCTAAAGCTGCTAATTTGATTATACCAGCTTTAACAGACTGAGACAGATATTGGGTACTGAGAGTGAAGTGCTACTCTAACAAACACCTAAAGTTGTGGAAGTAGCTTTGAACCTGGGTATTGAGTAGAGGCTGCAAGAGTTGTTTTTTGTTTGTTTGTTTGATTTGTTTGTTTTTTGAGACACAGTTTCACTCTTGTTGCCCAGGCTGGAGTGTAATGGCGTGATCTCGGCTCACTGCAAACTCCACCTCCTGGGTTCAAGCGATTCTCCTGCCTCAGCCTCCCAGGTAGCTGGGATTACAGGCATATGCCACCACACGTGGCTAATTTTGTATTTTTAGTAGAGACGGAGTTTCTCCATGTTGGTCAGGCTGGTCTCGAACTCCCGACCTCAGGTGATCCACCCACCTCAGCCTCCCAAAGTGCTGGGATTACAGGCGTGAGCCACTGCGCCCGGCCTAGAGGCTGCAAGAGTTTTGAGGTGCATACTAAAAAAAGCCTACATTGCCATGAATGGAGTATTAAGAGTCATGCTGGTGAGAGTTCAGAAGAAGAGGCCTGTAAAGAAAGCCTCTGTCTTCTTAGAGATTACCTACGTGGTTATAAACAGAGTGTTGGTAGAAGCATGGATAGTAAAATTCATTCTGATGAGGTCTTGGATGAAAACGAGGAACATGATATTGAAAACTTGGAAAAAAGACAATTTTTGTTATAAAGTAGCAAAAGAAAATCTTAGTGAATTGTGTTCATATCCTAGTGTTTTGAGAAAGGAGGACTTGTGAGCAATGAAATAGGATATCTGGTAGAAGAAATATCTAAGGAAGGTGTTTTGAGGAAGTGCCATGGCTCTTCTTGACTGCTTATAGTAAAATGTGAGAGTGATGACTTCAAGATAGAATCCATAATCAAAAGGGAAGGAGAATTTAAAGATCTGAAACATTATCAGCCTGGCCATGTTGTAATCAATGAAAAAGCATGTTTGGGACAGAACACCAAGGATGCGGCCAAGTGACCATTTGATAGGGAGATTAGTATGGAGAGAAGGACACCAAATGCTATTCATCTGAACTGTGGAAGAATGAGCCTGAAGACATTTCAAAATCTAAGAAATACATCTAAAGGTAAAACCCCAAAGACCTAAAACTAATAAGTGAATTCAGCAAGGTCACAGGGACATAAGATGAATATACAAATGTCAGTTGAATTTAATTATACCAGCAATAAACATGCGGGACACTGAAATTTAAAATATAATACAATTTACAAGCCAAAAATGAAAAATAAATGCTTAGCTATTAAATCTAACAAGAAGGTACAGGACTTATATTGAGAGAACTACAAAATGCTGATGAAAATTAACAAATCTAAATACATGGAGAGACAGACCATGTTCATTGATTGGCAAGACAACATAGAAAAAAAGTCAATTCTCCCAAATTAATATACAGGTTAAATGCAATTCTTATTAAACATTTTTAAAGATTTTTTTTTTTTTTTTTTTTTTTTTTTTTGAGACGGAGTCTCGCTCTGTCGCCCAGGCTGGAGTGCAGTGGCGGGATCTCGGCTCACTGCAAGCTCCGCCTCCCGGGTTCACGCCATTCTCCTGCCTCAGCCTCCCAAGTAGCTGGGACTACAGGCGCCCGCCACTACGCCCGGCTAATTTTTTGTATTTTTAGTAGAGACGGGGTTTCACCGTTTTAGCCGGGATGGTCTCGATCTCCTGACCTCGTGATCCGCCCGCCTCGGCCTCCCAAAGTGCTGGGATTACAGGCGTGAGCCACCGCGCCCGGCCAGATTTTTTTAAATGTAGGCAATATTATTCTTAAATTTATATGGAACAGCATTAGAAATAGAAGAGCTAATACAATTTTGAAAAAGCAGAATATGGTGAGAGGAGTCCAGCTATTTGATTTCAAGACATTATATGGCTACAGTAATTAAGACATAGATCAATAAAATAGAATATAGAATCCAGAACTAGATCCACAGAACTATTTGCAACAAAGATCTGAAAGCAATAGAATAGAGGAAAGATAGACTTTTCAAAAACTGGTGCTAGGGCAACTGGACATCCAAAAGCAAAAGAACAAACTGCAACCTACATTTCACACTTTATATAAAAATTGACTCAATTTGGATCACAGACTTAAATGTAAAATCATAAAACTTTTAGAAAAAAATAGAATAAGATCTTTAGGATCTGAGACTGAGCAAAGAGTTCTTAGGCTTGACACCAATACTGAATTTCCATCAAAATTAAACAATTTTGTTCAGTAACTGATTCTAGTAAGAAGATAAAAGACAAGCTACAGATTGGGAATAAATATTTGCAAATTGCATGTCATATGACAAACTAGTATCTAAAATAAATAAAGACCTCTCACAACTCTACAGTAAAATAACAAACAATCCAATTAGGAAATAGGCCAAAGATTGGCAACATTTTTACCAAAGAAGATATATGGATGGCAAATAAGCACATGAAAATTTACTCAAAGTCATTTGCCATTAGAGAAATGCAAACATAGTAGCTTTTTTCCAGTTTATCCATTCCTCCTTTTACCATAGATCTGCACTCACATAATTTCAGGAATATTGGTTATCTAAAATAAATATAAAAATAATTCAATTCAAGGAAAAAACTTCTGCAGATTGCTATATATTTAATCCTATCTAGATTAAGCAATATACTAGTAATACTAAGGTCTAAAAATGATGCCTCAGTCTTTAAAAAAATTTTCTTCCTTGTATCTACTTAAAAGTCATGAAAGAAGGAATTAGCTTCACAGAGTTTAAACATAAGTTTTCCTTCATGTATTATGTAAAGTTAACAAAAATAGAGAAGTGCCAAGTGATTAAATCAAAATTCCTCCTTAAAAGTAATATTACTTCCAGGTCAGTAGTTTATAAAGATTCTTTGCATAAAAAGCACTCAGATATAAAATGAAATATTTTCTTTTTTATTTATGTATTTTATATATATACGTACATACATTTTAGATACATTATGCAGGTTTGACAGTCCAGATAAATACCAACTATTTCTTTGGTTTTAGAAGTGCATTGTGTTTCCAATAAACACAGTACTCTTCTAAAATTATAGAATACAACTCTGTAAAACAAAAATGTATGCTGTGAGAAGTCAATATTCTAGTCACAATGGTGACAGTAAGTAGATAGCAGTGATCTCCCAGAGTTTTATTTTTCTGTGTGTAAATTTGAGTATATGCTACTTACATTCACAAACTATTTTGTTTTATGATAATTAATTTGAGTTTGATACTATTTTCTTAAATACTTGGTGATATTTGGATTTCTATTTCCCTACCAATGCTTTTATTTTAGAAAATTATGGAAGACCCTGCGTCTCATCCTGGTGAGTCTTATCCAAGACTAGCAGAATCCTTCAACATTTTTATCATCTAGTGCTTTTTTTTTTTTTTTTTTTTTCTAAAAAAACCCCAGCTCTTTTAAGATATAATTTACATTCCATAAAGTGTGCCCACCTAAAATATACAATTCAATGTTTTTAATATTATTTGCAGAGTTGTGCAACCATCACCACAATCTAATTTTAGAACATTTTTTTAATTACCCAAAGAAACATTATATCCAACAGCAGTGATTTCCCCTTCCTCCTTCACCTTCCTACAGCTCTAGGCTATTTTACCTTTCTATAGATTGCCTATACTGGACATTTCATGTAAGTAGAATTATTCACTATGTGGCTTTTGGGGCTGGCTCTTCACTCACATCACATTTATGAGGTTTATTAATGTTGTTGTATCTATCAGTAGTTTGTTCCTGCTTATTCCCAAATAATATTACATTGTACGAATATGCCATATTTAGTTTATCCATTCATTAGATGATGAATATTTGGATTATTTACATTTTTTGTTTTTTATGAATAATGTGGCTATGAGCAATTCATGTACAAATTTTTGTGGGTACACATGTTTTTATTTCTCTTGGGCATATACCTAGGAATGGAATTCCTGGATCATATGGTAACTCTGTTTAACTTACTGAGAAACTGCCAAATGGTTTTTCAAAGTGGCTTCAACGTTTTACATTCCCACTAGCAATATAAGAGAGATCCAATTTATCTACATCCTTGACAACACATTTATTATGTGTCTTTTTAAAATTATAAACATCCTAGTGGATGTTAAATAATATCTCATTGTGATTTTAATTAGCTTTTCTCTAATTAATGTTGTTGAGTGTATATATATCTATATGATTATTAACTATGTATTTTATTTGGAGAAATGTCTGTTCAAAGCATTTGCCCATTTTCAAACTGGGTTATTTGTATTTTTATTAATTAATATTAATGTTATTTATATACTCTGGATACAAACCTCTTATCAAATATATAATTTGCAAATATGTTCTCTCATTTTGTGGGTTCTATTTTCACTTTCTTCATGGTACTATTTGCAGCACAAAATTTTTTAATGTTGACAATATCCAATTTACATTCTTTATTTTGTTACTGTGCTTTTGGTATTATAACTAAGAAACCACCATCCAACCCTAAGTCACAAAGAATGACCCCTACATTTTTTTTCTAAGGACTGTATAGTTTTAGCTCTTACATTTAGGTCTATGATATGTTTTGAGTTAATTTTGTGTGTGGTGTTAAGGAAGGGGTCTAGCTTTGTTCTCTTGCATGTGGACCTCCAATTGTTCCATTTGTCAAAAAGAATATTCTTTTCTTTTTTAATCACCTGGGCACCCTTGTCAAAAATTAACTGACTCATAAATGTGAAGATTTATTTTTGGACTCTCAATTCTATTTCCTTGATCTGCATTTCCATCCTCATGCCTACTACACTGTCTTGAGAATCTTTCAAGTTTTAATAAACATTTTTCTCGCAAGAGAAATGTGTGAGTGTATGTGAGAAAGAGAAAATGAGACAGACCATATTAAAGTTTCCAACAGGAGCAAAGAGATCTTTGTTCCTCTAGGGAAAAAGTATTTCTCCAGATGCTCTGATACGTTAAGAACATTTAGAACACTTAGGTACACCATGCTACTTTCTGGAAGGTGGGCCTGGGTTGAGGAGTACATAATGCACATAAGCTTACTAAGAAGTTCTGAGAACAGGCTGGATGCAGTGACTCACGCCTGTATCCCAACACTTTGGGAGGCTGAAGTGGGTGTATCATTGGAGGTCAGGAGTTCGAGACCAGCCTGGCCAACATAGTGAAACCCCATCTCTACTAAAAATACAAAAATTAGCTGGGCGTAGTGGCAGGTGCCTGTAATCCCAGCTACTCAGGAAGCCGAGGCAGGAGAATCGCTTGAACAAGGGAGGCAGAGGTTGCAGTGAGCCAAGACTGCACCATTGCACTCCAGCCTGGATGACAGAGCAAGACTCCATCTCCAGAAGAAAAAAAAAAAAAAAGAAAAAGAAAAAAAGAAAGGAAAAGAAGTTCTGAGAACATATGGACACAGAAGGGAACAATATACACAGGAGCCTATTGGATGGTGGAGAGTGGGAAGATGGAGAGGATCAGGAAAAATAACTAATGGGTACTAGATTTAATACCTAGGTGACAAAATAATCTGTACAACAAACTCCATGAAGCAATTTTACCTATGTAACAAACCTGCATGTTCCTCTGAAATTAAAATAAAAGTTAAAAAATAAAGAAGTTCTGTGAAGGGTTGGCTTTATATAGCCAGAGCTTCCTAAATTAATTTGGCCAAAAAACTTTTGGTTTATTTTTTACATATAACATGTATTAATATCCCATAAAACTAACTTGCTGAAATTCTGATACAACCTATGCCAGGTAAGGGTATAGGAAAAATGAAAGCAGAATGAAGACATCCGGCTTGGAGAGGTTGAAATTCCAAGGACAGGAACATGATGGGTTATTTGATGGTGGAGCTTTGAAAGTGAGCAAGGAGTAAGGTATTCTTGCCTAAGGGATTTTTAGGTAGCAGGCATTCTGGGAATCACTCTCTCCATTAATGTCCAACTCTTTGCTTTTATTTTCTTCCATTTGTATCTCAAAATCTCTTCCAGAAAATCTTTGTTTACTAATTACTAACTAATTTAACTAGAGATTCGTTTTTCTGAGTACCTATTGTGTACTAGGTGTGATGTTATATGTATTTTGCTGTTCACAATAACCCAGTAATGTCGGTGTTTTCTCTATTTTACAAATGAATAAATGGAGACTCCAAGTAAATTGCCCCAAGTTACACAGTTAGAAATTGTTGGAGTGGGAGGCTGAGGCACGAGAATTCCTTGAACCTGGGAGGCGGAGGCTGTAGTGAGCCAACACCGTGCCACTGCACCCCAGCCTGGGCAACAAAGTGAAACTCTTTCTCAAAAAAAAAAAAGAAAGAAAGAAAAAAAAAGAAATTGTTGGAGCTAGTCTTTTTCACATACCATTCTATATTCACAACTAAAGAAATTAGTTAATTTGGACAATAGAAAATGCTTTTCTATCATCACAGTCACAGAGCACTCAAGAATCTTTCCTTGATCTAAGAAGCAAAGAACAGTGAAGAGTATCACTGCTTTTACCACCAAGGGAGTATAAGAATGACTAAATTCCAGGGACATTATTCATCTCTTACACTCTACAGTTGCAAACAATCTGGACAGCCATCACTTTTCGCTTGCTTCCTACCCTCTGTAACCTGTGCACCATTTCCTCAAAAATATCTTCCCTAACTTCCGAGTACCTCGCACTTTCCTTTGACCTTATCAGGATTGTAATTTGATTATTAATCATATCCTGTATCTCCTCAACTACAATGTCATCTCTTTAGTGGCATTGTTCACTTCTGTGTCCTCAGGACCTAGGCTACTTACCTCCTTCAAGAGAAGTTGCGGTAATATTTGTTGGAGGAATGAAGGAATACATTCGAGTTATATCATCTGCTCAAATGTAAGGTTTCATTTCTACCCATTTTTATTTACTATATTTGAAGTAGAAGGTACACATATCCTAAAAGGCAAATAATTATTTGAGATTATTTATATTTTATCAAACTTGATTGCAGATGTATGTTTCTTCCACTCCTCTCTGCATCCCTCCTTTTATTTATTTATTTATTTATTTAGAGATAGATCTCACTCTTGTTGCCCAGGCTGGAGTACAATGGCGCAATCTCGGCTCACTGCAACCTCCACCTCTGGGATTCAAGTAATTCTCCTGCCTCAGCCTCCTGAGTAGATGGGATTACAGGTGTGCACCACCATGTCCAGCTAATTTTTGTATTTTTAGTAGAGACAGGGTTTCACCATGTTGACCATGCTGGTCTCAAACTCCTGCCCTCAAGTGATCTACTCACCTTGGCCTCCCAAAGTGCTGGGATTACAGATGTGAGCCACCGTGCCCGGCCTCCTCCTTCTATTTTTAACTCTCTCTCTCTCTCTGTCTGTCTCTCTGCCTAGTATGATTCCTTATAGTTCAGTTGTATTATTGAAAACTTGAATGATAGCCAGGCAAAGGAAAAAAGCGAATGCCGATTTAATTCTAAAAGTAACAATTCATTTTGTGAATAGTTGACCAATAAATGTGTATTATATGTTCAAAATTCAGAGCTCACTAAAAATCTGCTCTGGTCTAAGCAATCGTAATAGAGATATATTTTATGTAATTTACTATATGATACAGGTAAATGTCTCCTCTGGTCTTCACCTCTGCCCCCTAACCCCCTTCAAATCTCCTACTCTAGGCAGGAGAGGAATAAAGACAGATAGAAGCAATAGGATCTGATGTCATGTCACTGTTGTCCATAAAAGTCGGCCTGAGTGTAAACTATAAGTTTTATTGTTCACAAAGGCTCAACCTTAGTTTTGCAGCTGAGTTCTGTATATTTGAACATGCTGTGTATGGATGTGTGACTTCTTTTCTAAACCAGCTCACCATCACTTAATGTGAACCTTAAATCAAGTCTTGTGGTACAGGTTGGTTATTTGCAGTATATTACAGACCTGCACTGATTAATTTCATATGTAGGGCTCAGAATCAACCAGTTCAATCTCACAAACACTGTATAACACGACGACTGCAGCCAGGCTTAAAACATGCAATCTTCTTTTCAATTCTAATTTTAATATTTTGTAATAGGCTATATGCATCTCATTTGTGTTTATAAATGAGATCCATGTGAGTTGGATATAAAACTGAAGCACATGTTAATCACATATTGCAGAACTCTGGTATTGGGTGTAAATATATACCCACCTATGTATATAGGCCAAAAAAAAAAAAAGCAAGGAAATGAGGGGTCAGACATTCAGTATACTCTCCTCTCCCATGGTTCAAACTGAGATTAAATGCACTTGGTATAATTTACAATAGAAGGCTACTAAAAATTTAAATCACACAAGCAAGTTTTAACATTAGTAAATAAATTATTGCTAACCTAAGGACAAGTGTATTTTTATTTTTAAAAAAGAAAGACTGCAAATTGTTTCTACTTAACAGGCAAATATATACTCCCTTTTTGGGCTCCTAGGTCACAAAAGGTGGTTATCCTGTCACCACGGCTGATTTTTGAAAAGTGTGACATGCATTTAGTTGTCAGTTCCTATCAGCAGCATTCAGGAATCAACATTACATCAGCAGCAAGACACACCATTTTATGCTCTTTTTGAAGATAATTAGAGTTCCCTTTTGTTGCAAATAAGATGTAAAACAGCTATAACTGCTGGAGAACGTGATTAAAGTAACCTCTATAGAACCCCATTATTCTAGACAGATTCCTTCAGATGCATAATTTTCCCATTTTTAGAAAATATAATGCATGCATATAAAATTCAAATTGTCGAGACACCTCTAACAAAAATTAGTACTCTATTAAGGCATTCTTAGTAGCTGGTTAACATGTAAAACTCCTTAAGAGTATTTTAACATAATCATGAAATAATAATATGTGTCACAAAAGGTAAACATTTTACAACGAGAGGATTCTTCAGACAAGATTCATGTATTTAACTTTTTTTAGCTTACGAAACTTTTGACAGATAATGTATGAGAACTTGTATCCCAAACACTCCAAACCCATGGAAATATGCATGCACTCTTTCATCATCTTGTGCTTCAACTCTAAGATAGGTGGTTGTAAACACATAAATGTACATACACAAGCATGCACACACACATGCACAAGCACACTCCTTACTTGTTTAGACACTTAAGTGTCATCTCTTTGAAATACTAAGACTCCATATATCATTTTTAGCAGGTACTCTATGAAGCTAAATACACTTATTTCAAAAAAATAGCAGATATGCACCAATATCATATGTATCACAAGGTTTTACAAAAATAGTTGCTTTCAAATATAGGTAATTTTCCAAACTCTGTAGTAAAACACGCCTTTCAAGTGGATTTTAAAAATAACCCCCTTCTTTCCTTGCAGGTCTTATTCTTTTCCAAATGTAACCTAGGACAGACATAGATGCCTAAGAGATCCAGTGTCCTACAAAGTAACTCAGCACCTACTTGTCTATGGGTGTTCCAGTTATTCAACAAAATATAAATTCTGTTTGAAAAAAGATATGTAAGGTGGTGATTAGTAAATTCCACCAAGATTACCCACACACTGACCGTAACTTTTTATGAATGGTTATAATTATAAAATCAAGTTCTTCGTTGACTCCACCGGGAACCTCAACATCTAACAAAAATGTTATTAAAAAAGCTTACAAATGAATAATCATTCTCAACAACTCACAGCAGCCTTCACAGCATGAAAGTGGGAAAAATGGAGAAAGTTTTAAGGTGGGGGACTGATTAGGATGACAACGATCTCTGTCAAGAGAACGTATTGTGTAAGGCTTCTCAGGAGAAACAATTTTCACCTGAAAAGAGACAGCATTATGAACACTGAAGAACTGAGGATTGCAGGACACTGATCTTATTAAGAACTTACGCTAATTTGCACACTGTCTCCTGCTGAACTGGAAGCAAGTTTACCACTGGGTTTGTTAATTTGCCCAGGACACGATTATCTTTGGTTGGACTTAATGTATCAGAGTAGAGGTCATTAACTGCTGGGTTCATGATTATCTAGCATGAATTACCGACAGGATAACCAAAATACATCTGTACTTTGACTTCATTTCTCTGGATGCATTTGTTTTCTTCAGATGTTATTTAAATTCTATAACTAATTATTATCTATGTATATTTGCATGCTTTTTGCAGAGAATAGAGTACAAGCACCAATGTTCACAATGGACACCGCTATTTCTATTTGGCTTCCTAGCATTTCAAAATAGTCATAAAATTACTGTATAAAGGATCCACTTTTTTCTTGCTGAGGCTGCAAATGAAGAAAGGTATGGTCATGTGGGAATTTTTAATCACAATAAAAATGCATAATTACTCTGGGAGATTTCCTTTGTCCGTTAGCGTTTACATTGCCCTGGATGGTTAAATATTCAGAGTGAAGTTGTCCTGAATTTGCTCTCTCTGCTTTTGCAGTTATTTTATTTCAACCATCTATCAATCATGGCTCTAAAGTTATGTTCTATCCCAAACAAACATTTTGTTAAGAAAAAAAAGAAACACTATAAAATCCCACTGGTGCATTTATTTTAGCTTACAGTTCAATAAAATCACTATGAACATTCATAAAGAGAAATCCTGGAATTAAAAGTTAAATAGGAAAGTGCATTCTTAAAAATATTTGTGGTTTCTGGTTAAATAAACACATTTTCATAAAGCTGCATGTTCAATCTATTTTATATAAATGGAACAAATCAACCAAAAATTCATTTACAATTTTTATGGGTAAAAGCCCACTTCTAATAGCAGGGAACACTTTTGTGTCTCTGCATGATATCTGTAGAAAGAGGTGAATTTTCATTTATTTAATGCAAATATTCACACAAGGTAAACTCTTCAGGCATATATGGAGCATGCTTCATGGCAGCTTTGTGGCAATAAGAAAATAACATGACATAATTGTACAATAAATGGAGTGCTGCCACCTCAAAATTACCTGCAGCACGGTGTTGTGAATATAGAGAAGAATACAGAAATTCTGAAGTGTTTTTTGCTAGTTTCTAAGCTACTTTGCTTACAAATGATTTAATTCTGATCTTATATAGCTGGACATTTATGACAATCTAATCTTCAGAACTGCAAAATTACTAAGATCTTTTTTTAAGGCTTTGAATAATGAAAAGTGCATTGTTAGCAGATGTGCCACAGCTTTCCATGGCACAATACACATTTAACTAACAAAGTAAGAAAGTGAGCAGAGTAAAGATGTTAGCTTCAGACTTACTGCATATTAAGAGTTGGGCTTTTATATCTGTTGCCTGAGGAGGCATTGTCCTGGCTCAGACCTTAATAACATCATTTTCCAGGTAAAGTTGAATACCAATCTTTAAAGCAGAAATATGATTTTATATTTTCCTTTGAAAATTAGTGTTGACACAATGACTTGAAAATCACTCAACATATAAAAATATGTCACCTGGTTTTAAAATACCTTTGATAAAGAGTTTTTCAGCATAACTGGCTTTTTTTCTATCACAGAAGAGGATGTGGAGCAGTTTTACTAATTAAATATATATGAATATTTATTAGAAAATTATGTTTTCAACTTTGTGGAATGATATTTGTTTTGTGTTTTATTCTGGGGTTTGTTCTGTTTAAACATATCCATAAGCTGAGAATAATGGCCCCAAGTCAAAACTGTCTTTTATGCCCTCCTTTTCCAACCCTAGCTTTTGATATTTTCTAGCAAATTCAACTTGGGACTTTCAGTGGGCAGGAATCTATTCTAAATTTAGGCAGTATCATGTTTAGAATCATGGCAAACTACTGCAGTCCAGTTCATAATTAAACCAACTTCTAAAAGTCATGTCTGGATACTCTCAGGGAAAACAAAGTTTGAAATTCTTCATCTGAAAAGGCTACCTCTGTTACGCTAACTAGTGTGGGATCAATGAAAAAAAGTAGATTTTAGACCACTAACCATTCTCCTAAATTAGAAGCATTATTGCTATAATTTACATATAATTTATATGATTTATTGATTCAACAATATTAGAATAATTTTATTCATTATTCCCTACCATATTATTCTAAAATTCAGTTTTACTATTCTTAATAATCAATTCTCAATTAAATATTTTAATAAAAAAGAATGTTGGCCAGGCACAGTGGCTCACACCTGTAATCCCAGCACTTTGAGAGGCAGAGGTGGGCAGATCACCTGAAGTCAGGAGTTGGAAATCAGCCTGGCCAACATGGTGAAACACTGTCTCTACTAAAAATACAAAATTTAGCCTGGTGTGGTGGCAGGCGCCTGTAATCCCAGCTATTTGGGAAGCTGAGGCAGAAGAATCACTTGAACCCAGGAGGCAGAGGTTGCAGTGAGCCAAGATCATGTCATTGCACTCCAGCCTGGGTGACAGAGCAAGACTTTGTCTCAAAAAAAAAAAAAAAAAAAAAGAATGTTATATATGTTGGTAGGACCACAGTTGATTAAATCCTAGTGGGATGAAGTTTCAGAAATGGACCTGTTATTTCTTTCTCTCTCTCTCTTCTTGTTCTCTCCACATACAAGTTCACTATTAAGAGCGCATTAGTACAGATGTTCAAATACTCATCATTTTTCAACTGAGCAGTAGCCTCCTCACTGGTATCTTTGGTTTAAATCTTTAGTTCCTCTAATCTAAACTCCAAGTGAATGCCCAAGTAATTCTTTTAAAACACACATTTGATCTTCACTCTGGTTTAAAAACCTTCAGCAGCTGTTCACAGCCTTCATGATAAAGTAAAATTTTCAGAGTTCAGTATATAGACCCACCACCTCATGGCCAATGCCAACCTTATTAACTTCCCATTTTGTTACCTCAAGTGGTCCTCTTAAACAACACAGTCTTTCATAGTTCCAGTTCTTACCAATAGTAATCCCTCTGCCTTACTCATCTGGCCAACTCTTACTCATCTTCAAAACTCCAACTACATTGCTATCATCTGTTTAAGTGTCTTTCTCTCCCCACTAAACATAAGACCCTTAAGGGCAACGGCCTTAAATTCTAGGCCTAGCATAGGTCCCAGAACATAGCGCATGGTTAATATTCGTTTGTTGAATAAATAAATGAATAAGTAGTATAGAGATACTCTATTGCCTCAAAAACAGCGTACTAAATGTAATGAAAGTCCTCTTAGCCGACAGAATTGAAATTAGTGATTCTGTGATTCAGCTGCAGTCACACAAATCAAGGTGATCTCCTTGATTGCCAGTTTTGATGGCAGTGTCAGCCTGTCTGAAGTGGGCTGCCATGACGCTGGCTGCAGTGGGGGAGGCGCCTTCGGGGCTGCGTGCTCCACGAAGCTGAGCGGATCTGGGAACAGGCGAAAGCCCCGCCCGCTTCCAAGTTGGAGGGGCGGGGGCCCTACCTTCCTAGTTGTAGCTGCAGCCACACAGCTGCGGCTGCAGCTGCGGACCTGGGAAGCCGCCCCCCACCCGACCTTGCCCTGCAGGCTCGGAAGTTCCTGCTCCTTCTGCCTGGCCTCTCCCCACTCCCGGTGACTGCTCCTATTTCCGAGCAAAGTTATGGCCCAGCCAGGGCTCTATCATGACCTGGCAGCTGTGTGTGTGTTCAGGGCAGTGCTGACAAGCCAGCCCACTGCCACCTCGGCCCCCTCCGGACTCTGGGCACTGAGGAGCACTGGCAGGAGGCTGAGTGGGGACTAAGGGCGGCTCAGCACAGGAATGCAGGCACCATGGGCACGAACAACCTTGGCTCTGTGGGCAGCGTGGACAGCAGCAGGTTAACGGCAGCAGAAGGCAGACAGGCTCCTGGGTGGAAAGAGGCAGGTCCCTGGTGAAACCCCACCTTCAGACGAGGGAAGGCCTGAGGCCTGAGGGCCGGGCTGCCAGTTCCATGGACTGGAGTGAGAACTTACTGTGCTTTTTCTGGGCCTGCCCATGGCTGCCCATGGACCAGTCAGCAGGCATTTCCTCCCCTTTGAAGCCCATAAAAACCCAAATTTAGATACACTGGGCATATGACAAGACAACCTGCCTACGGAGAGGAGCTACCCACTGTGGGTCTCCTCTGAGCTCTTCTGTTGCTCAATAAAGCACCTCTTTGCCTTGCTCACCCTCCACTTGTTCAGATACCTTATTCTTCCTGGACATGGGACAAGAACTTGGGAGCTGCCAAATGGGGGAGCTGAAAGAGCTGCAACATAAACAGGGCTGAGACATGCCCCTTGCTCACTACATTGTGGGTGATGAGGAGAGAAGAGTGGCAGCCCTTTGGAGAACCCAGGCCTTGGGGCCCCCAGAGCCAGGGATGTGACACCACCCTTTTTAGGGCTCTGTAGTTCCTGGCATCTCCAAGCTTCTGGGCACCACCACATTCCCCTGTGCCAGCCGTGGTAGCTGCTTGCAGTACACCTAGTCCAGCGGCAGCCTCACAGGGGGCCAGGGCCCGTGCTGGTGCCTGGAGCTGCCCGCCCTGCTACAGCCAGCATGTCTGGCTCTGCACAGTGGCCAGATCCCATGCTCATTCACTCACACACTCCGCACTGCTCTGTGCCTGGCTCACCCTTGGCAGGCATGGGATCCAGGCCAGTAGCAGGAGTAGAGTGCAGCCTGCCAGGCCAAGTGGGCAGAATGAGCCCAGTGGGCCCAAGCAAAACTTGGGCAAAGGCACCACCGGTCACAGAAGTTTCCAGCCAGAAAAACTACACCACAAAGATCCTGTGACAATTTGAACTGAATTAGGAGCTTAATGACAATTGTGAATTAATCTCAGGGAAGAATCTAGGTTGACAAATGACTTTTTCTCTCAATCCTTTGTAGTTGCTTTGCCCTCACATATTTTGATAGTAACTTTTTAGTGACTTGCTTTGTTGAGTCCTCAAAGCAGTCAACGTAGAAACAACAGCTCTCTTCTCCTTAGTTCATCAGTTTACATAATATTTAATTAAATTATGTAATTACAAGAACAAGCACAACTGACATAATCAGATTTGGGAACAAATACCATGGGCTCTTGGCAAACATATAACTCAACCTGCAGGGGAAAAAAAAGTGTGTCAACATGCTTGCCACAGGAGTGCAGAAGCACGTGATATCAGTCCGTGAGTTTTGCCAAAGATGTAGAGAGAATCAGTTATGCTAGAGGTGGTTAAGTGGAATTAGGGTAAGAGACATTCTTCTATAATAGGATGTTTTTGTTACTTATTTTAAGATGCTGCAATGCTTTGAAGTTAGTATTCTAAACATTAATTCTCAATGTACAGAAGCAAAGCTCTAAATATAATAGGCACAGGAGATTGAGCCGAATTGCTTTTGACTCCAGAATATAGTCTGGGCAGTCCTATTTTTAATGTCTCATACTTACCAATTCTTTCCTTCAAATAGCACAATATAAAAAAATAGAGAACTTAAATTCTGGTAGAGTTTTTGTTATATATTGTTTTGTTTTATTTTCTCCTTATCTCCTTCAACTTGGATAGACTACAATGATAAAGATTAATATTCAAGAATTCATTGAAAATTTTTGACTTCTGCCTTATGGAAAAGTAAAGGACTGATGAAACAATGATATTTTGTTTAAGAGAAAATGAGACTGCCTTTTTAAAACTTTGTGTTAATCTGAGCCATTTTTAATCAGGATGACCCAATTACATAGCTCAAAACAAGAGCAATGCAGAAGTCAATGCACCAATTCCAAGGATAAAACACTGAAAGCATCATATAGGTAGAAAACACACTATTCTTTTGGTTACAGGCTCATCTCAAATGCAGGAAAAACAACCTTTCAGAAAAACACCAAGTCAAGGGGTTTTATGGTGGGATGGGGTCACTTAGGAAGACTCAGTGTTCTCTCCAACAGAGGAAATAGTTACAAGGAGTGGATATGTGGAAGCCAGATGTTTCTGGGACTTTCAACAATACCATAAGTAAGCAAGTCTCTAAGTAGTCTGTACAGATTGATTTTTTTAAAAGCAGTGGACTCCTTTTGAGATAATTAGCCTATCTCTCATCACCGTCACTCAATCTCAAAGTGGTGGAGTCTTAGATCATTTTCTCTTCCATTGCTGAGCTTCTTCATCCACAAGCAACAGCTCTCATAAACATACATATTTCAGAGATTCCTAAAGGAGAAGTTTTGTTTTTGTTTATTTTTCTGTAATGTGTACAAATGTACATACTAGTATACATGAATATACATAGTATGTCATTTATATAAAGTACATCTTAATATATTACATCCACTGTAATATCTTTAATCTCAGAAAGTAAAATTGTCCTGAGGGGCAGCCACATACCAGGTGTCATTAGTAATCTCAGATTAGTTGGAGCTCCTAGACTAGCCCACCAGTATCATCAAACAAATTTATTCTGTTATTCTCTGCTTTGGAATTTTTCACTCATAACCTAATACCCTCGTTTTCCACATTCCACACAACTGTTAAATTGGAACTCACCTCCTTCTTGAAACAAATGTCTTCAGTCACCACAGAAGCAGCCATGCTGAGTGGACAAAGCAGAGTAAGCATGATCCCAGCTAGACACCAGCCTCAAAGTGCAAGCCAAGAAACCACCATAGGAAACTGAAATAGACCTCCCATACCCCAAACACAGGACGGCACCTCAGCAATGGGTCTGATAGGAATGGATTCCAGCTCTGTGGTCATTCACATGACCTTTTGCCTTTGCCACTCTCTGATGAAGACTGCTTTCCTGCACATAGAAAAAGTGTCTTATTTGCAGACTGAACTGCATTTATTGAAATTTCAAAGGATGGCTCTTAATTTATTCCTGTATTGCATGCAAGGAATTGTGGCTGAATTTTTTGGACAGTATCTAACAGTTTCCTCAAACCTTGGAGGGCTAAGGTCTCTGGAAAGAAGGCATTCTTTGCTGACATCATAGTTACTGGTGCTCAGCAAGTGTCATACCCACAGTCTGCTGATACTATGGGCAGTAATATCAGCAACCTCCCAATGTTTTACTTTTTTCTTTGCTTAAAGAATACTATTTCATCAGACCTCACTTTTGGCTCAAAGTCTTCGATATTTGACCCCTCACAGTTTCCTCTCTTATCCATCTTGTTATAGGCAGTCTTACAGTGGGAAACACCTGGCAGACATTAGCACGGTTGTTAACAATAGAGAGGCAGGTCAAGAATGAACTCCAGATGAGATCAGAAACAAGAGTTTGGAGAAAAAAAAAAAAAGTGTGCAGAGGACAAAAGAAAAGATGGAAGGAAGGAGAGGAAACATTCTAACAAAAGTGCTCTCTGCCCTCTCCCCTCCTCCACCCTCCACGGCTTCCCCTTCGGGACTAGGCCGGACTCTGATTTCATATCTCTTCTTCCCACCTCCCACTACTCTCCATCTCCAAACAACAGGGATTCCAGAGACAAGCTATAGTGATGGCTTCACCAGCAGGCTTGCTTCAAGGTCTGGCCCTTGGCATCAGAAACAGTAGTGACCACAACCATGTCGGACGTCGGACTAAACACCGCAAGGACGTCGGACTAAACACTGCATTCATTCCTAGAAATCCACCTCCCCTGCAATTAGTCACCACGGAAGCAGCCATGCTGAGTGGAGAAAGCAGGGTAAGCATGATCCCAGCTAGACACCAGCCTCAAAGTGCAAGCCAAGAAACCACCACATGAAACTGAAATAGACCTCCAATACCCCAAACACATGACGGCACCCCAGCAATGGGTCTGATAGGAATGGATTCCAGCTCTGTGGTCATTCGCATCATGAAGCATCAGCCCAAGTCCACTGTCACTTCTTATAAGCTGCCAATCCACCCAAATTTGTCTGGCTTTGAGTCATCGATCTGATGAGAACTGGAAATGCTAACTTGATTCTCTCTGCTTTCAAAGAAATGATGCAACCCAGATGTGTGAGTAATGAATGACCAGAAAATGGGTAATGTAAAAACTTAATCCAAAATAAACAAACAAAACCTAAAACCATGATATTGGGGGATTAGAAATCGGGAAGATATTCTGAAATGTGCACCGAATTGAGTAGGCACACTGGGAGTCTCAGTTACCACACTATATGAGATTTGGCATGAAAAGAGACAGAAACATTGTCGCTGTTCATCACAGACAATGTCAGAACACCAGCCAAGCAACGCATTTGTAGATTGTTGCACGTGTCAGTGATGGCGTCCACTTCCTGCAGAGGAAGCCAGTGGCATGGTAGGATGCTTGTCCAGGAGAATCGTAAAGGAAATAGGAGCTATTTTGCTATTTTGGGGTGAGCAAATGGGAAGTCACGTCAGCCTTGTCCCCAACACACACAATCTCTATCTCCTATTTAGTTTTTCTCCTGTTAAGCTGTTGCCACCTTCCTTTTCCCTTTCCCCACCTTCTGCCACCCCTCCCCAGAGAAATTCCAACTATATATAAACAAGAAGATATTAAACAAATGAATTGGCTCCAGACGTTGTCATGAAATTGGGTATAAATACCCACTTTTCTGGCCCTACTCTGCAGTTACGTAAGGAAGAGCAGGCTTAATTGCTCCAATCCCATGGCTATGTTGACATATTTCCAAATGATTACATAACTTCCCCACATCCTTCTCTAGGAGGGAGTGTTTATCAAAAGCGTGGAAGCTGACAGGATGGCATTATTAGCGTGGCTCTGAGCTAATCCTGTTGCCGATTTGTTGAGGATGATTTTCACTCTAGTCACTTACAGACGGGATGCTTTCTGACACGTTGCCCTCATGAAGGTAGACTACAAAATAAAGGCATGCAAATGGAATGATAGGGGGATTACAGAGACACGAGCTATGGTGGGGGGTTTGGGGACACGTTCTGAAATTATTGTAAGGCTAACAATGAAAACATAATTTTGGGTTCACCTACATTTGGGATTGTCTATTTCAGATGTATATGTGGAAATGGTGCACCAGGAAACTGAATTCCAATGACGTTTCCTCTGGAGGCAGGAAAAATAATTTCAATGTAATTCAAACAGTTGTAGGGGAGGGAGAGGGAAAGGAGGTTTTCTGTGATTGCCAATTATGACAAAGAGTTCAAAGCTTTAGCAGATGAGCTGTTTCCTTCATAAACAGAGCCATAAAAGGGTTGTATCCAAGTTGTATCCTCCAACCTGGCCTGAACATTTCAGTAATATTGAACCAATGTAAACAGACTTGGATAATCAGAAATGGCTCTCAAAAAAATGGTACTAATAAGATACCTAATTTGTGCAGGTGAGACTGGACCACATAAAATGTGTTTTAATTGCTGGGTAAAGCATTTCTTTTTTTTTTTTTTTTTTTTTTTTTTTTTGGAGACAGAGTCTCGCTCTGTTGCCCAGGCTGGAGTGCAGTGGCATAATCTTGGCTCACTGCAACCTCTGTCTCCCAGGTTCAAGCGATTCTCCTGCCTCAGCCTCCTGAGTAGCTGAGACTACAGGTGCCCACCACCACACCCAGCTAATTTTTGTATTATTAGTAGAGACAGAATTTCACCATATTGTCCAAGTTGGCCTCGAACTCCTGACCTTGTGATCTGCCCGCCTTGGCCTCCCAAATTTTCACTGCCTTCTTAGTAACTGATTGTGGCAAATCCAAAGAGTAGAGTGGCTGCCTGGGCTTCTTCCTGGCTCCCAGCAGTGCTTTGGTCGGCAAGTCGAGATGTGAGGACCATAGGTGGAGATTCATGTCCCCAGAACTCGCCCCAACCAGAGTCAACAAAAGGTTGCACCTCAGCGGCAGGGTGGTTTGGTTGAGGCAGAAGTGCCTGAACAGCTCCCTGCCGCTCACTCTCATTTGTAGAGGCTACAACAGATTTGTCTGATTTGCTATAATTATCTGGAGGAGAGTCTGCAGATAACACAGTAGTGTTAGCATTTGGGCTGGCGCTTTCCTCCGGAGAGTCCATCCAAACACCCTGCAGGACTGCAACCTCTCCCATTTTGTATGTTTACCTCTCTTCAGTGTCATCTCTAGCTTCTGACTCCTTAGCTAAAAAGTCTGTTTATTGCCCACTTCTCCCTTACCTCCTGCCTCCCATTCAGTTTCATTTTACCTCTTTATGAGGAAAAGAAGTAAAAGAGAAAGATTTCCAGATTATTTGATTTAAGAGTATGGTACTGAAGGCAATGGTTATGTTGCTCTGTAATTCACAGCCCCAAGAGCCAGGGCAGCACTGGCACTGGTGGTCTCCAGGCTGCCTAAGGAACAGGCTGGGTCTGAGTGAGAGTTGATCTGATGTTATCTCCATAGTTTTTCACCATATAGCGCTAATTGCTTCTTCTGTTTTAGACTTATATTAAGACTCTTTCTAAAGGACCCAAAGCACCTTTAAAAAAATTCAGATAATTTTTTAATGATCATCAATTCTAAAAATTACACAATTGTCAAAGAACATGAATAAACAATTGATATAAAATGAAGTCTAAATAGTTTATGAACATAGGAAAAGAAACTTAGCTTTAATCATAATTAAAGATATGCAGATTAAAACAGTAACAAGGTACTATTTTTCACATATTGGTATGGTAAATAGATAAAAGAAAATTAATTATACACAAAGAGTTGGTGGGTGTGTAGGAAAACTGACACTCACGAATATAACGTTGATGGGAGAATAAATGTACCTAACTTATAGTGGGTCAATTTGGCAAAACAGATCAACCTTTTAAGTGCATATCCATTGATAAACTTTTTAGTGCAGTTTTGAGTTCACATCAAAATTTGGCAGAAAGTAAAGATAGCTCCCATAAACCCCAATCCCCACACATGTACAGCCCGCCCTACAATCAACATCCTGCATCAGAGTGGTACATATGCTACAATCCATGAACTTACACTGAACTGACATTGAAACAGAGTATTACCCAAAGTCCGTAGTTTACATCAGGGCTAACTCTTGGTGTATATTCTGTGGGTTTGGATCAATGTATAATGACATGTGTCCACCATTGCAGTAACATACAGAACAGTTTCACTGTCCTAAAAGTCCTCTGTGCTCTGCCTAATTATCCCTCCCTCCCCCAAACCCCTGGTAACCACTGATCCTTTTACCGATTCCATGGTTTTGCCTTTTCCATAATGTCATAGAGCTGGAATCATACAGCAGGTAGCCATTTCAAATTGATTATTTTCATTCAATAATATGCCGTTAGTATTCCTCCAAGTCTTTTCATGGCTTGATAGTTCATTTCTTTTTACTGAATAATATTTCATTGTCTGGGCGTATCACAGTTTATTTATCCATGCACCTACTAAAGAACATCTTGGTTGCTTCTAAGTTTTGGCAATTATGAATAAAGCTGTGACAGACATCCGTGTACAGGTTTTTGTATGGACATACATTTTCAACTTCTTTGAGTAAATACCAAGGAGCATGACTGATGGATCATATGGTAAAAGTAGGTTTAGTTTTTTAAGAAACTGCCAAACTGTCTTTTAAAGTAGCTATACCACTTTTCATTCCTAACAGCAATGAATGAGAGTTCCTGTTACTCCACATCCTTGTCAGCATTTGGTGTTGTCAGTGCTTTGGGGTTTGGCCATTTTAATAGGTGTGATGTGATATCCTACTGTTGTTTTAGCCTGAAATTCTCCAATGACATATGCTGTTGAACTAAAGCATCTCATATATATATATATATATATATATATATATATATATATATATCCATTAATCAAGTGATGCCTTTGAATGAAAAATTAACTTTGGGAATATGATGGGCTGGAAAACAAAATGGGTACATTATGAAATAAACCTCCTCCCATCAGAAATAAAGACACTATTAAAACAGCTCAGAGAACATGACATATTCATATCCTAATGAATTTTTGTTCAATATCACCCAGATCAGTGTTTTCCTAACATTTTTGATTATCATCTGCAGTGAGAAAAGCATCTTACTTTTGGGGTATACACCCACATATGCCTAAAACAAAAGCTTCAGAAATAAGTATTTACCATTCCTACGTCTGCTGCACTCAGTTTTACATTTCAGTTCTAATATACTCTTATTTATTCTATTGCATTTTTTAAAATAAATTGTGTTTGCTATCTAAGTCAACCTTATGACTCATTAATGAGTTGTCACCCAAGTTTTACAATAATCAAATCAAGATAACTATACTTTTTAAATGTGTAAAGTAATAATTTGTGGAAAACTTATCTTTAAGATTAATCATAAGTAATTATCAAAGAACTTGGGTCTAAACTTTCAAATTTCTCTGGATCAAGATTTTCCATTTGAACAATTAAGACATGAATAGGATGCTCAGGACCTGATTAACTTCAAATTTTTTACTTTTTATTTTAAAAGATGCCAGATGTCCATCTACAATCTCCTATATCACATCTTCAGCAAAGTTAAAAAGAAAAATCCAACCTTGGAGATTTTATCATATTAAATATCACCATGTTCATAATTGAAACTTAACTTCAAAGTCTCTAAATACAAGTTCTGATCTGCTACTGTCTGCTTTCACTTTTATCTTTTAGAAATGTACATGTATTTTCTTCTTTCTTTCTACCTCATTCTTTGTTTAATTGCTTTTTGTTTCTTTCCCTTCATTCCTTTTTCCTGCCTTATACCTTCCTTTCCCATTTCTTTCTTGCCTTTCCCTACTTCCTCTCTTTTTTCTGACCTTCAGTCTTTTTTGTCTTTTCTTTCTCTAGCTCTCCCTGTCCCTCCCATTTCTTCCATCTTCCTCTCTTTTTTTCTCTCTCCTTGTGTTCATACCTTTCATACAATAACAATAGCTAGTATTTTTCTTTCAACTCACTCCTAAAATTTTCTTTCTTCTCTTTTAAATATCCTTCTGTCACTCAACTCTACTTTTCAATTACTTTTCCATGCCAGTGATTGTAAATGAAAAGTTATTCCCACTTGATACCATTGGAGATAAAGACAATAAAAATCTGCCTCATTTAAAGTTTGTGTGTATGCGCATGTGTGTGTGTGTGTGTGTCTGTGTCTGTGTATAAAACCTAATATGAATTTTTATTATTTCAGAAAATGCTATGAGTGTATTTCCAGAAAGCTGGTTTTGATAGGAAGAAAGAGGAGTAAGCACAGAGCAACGGGAGGAAAGGGACCACTACAAAGATCCACGTTTACTACAAAGACTCATGTTTGCAAAAAAAAAAAAAAAGGGGGCCTAACTTGAATTTAAGAGTCATATATTCCTTTTATGAGGCTCAGCATACTTATCTGAAAACAAAAACAAAACTAAAAGCAAATACTACAGTAATAATTACAAGTTGACTACATTTTATTATAAGGTGCCTTCACAAAGAGCCAGTTTCATTTGTTATATCTCCCTGGAAAACCTTTCTAGCCCATCTTAAGCCACAGGTCCTGGTTTCCTAGGACTTAAAGATGAAATAGATTCAAATTACTTTCTATTTCAGGTAAAATGTGTGTCTACTTTGGTTCCTCTGTGAGGTAGAGGAGACAATATCCAGCTTCTGGTGGTAACACCGCTCCCAACTTTTGATTAAGTCCTTTAACCTTCCTCTCCTGTAAATCATATAAAGTAGCACCTCAACGAACAGCACTTGGCGAAGTGGAAGGGTTAAGTAAGATAACAAATGTGAAATGCTTTGAGAAAGCTAATACAGCTTTATAAATGTGTTATTAAAAATGCCATTTTCATAAACCAATGAAAATACCTATTCTGGAAATATAATGATATCCTACCTCCATGGTTTGTTACCCAGCAACACATTGGGTACGTAAAAACTTAACAACTTGAAATATTTCTCATGCAAGATCAAAACCTCCAAGTTTTCTGCCCACCACCTGTACCCTATAATACCCACAAAAGGGATCACTTAGAAAGGAAGGGAAAATATTATCATTTTAAATTAATTTAGCACCATGGAGGTGCTAAGTGATGTTCAGAATAATATATTCAAAATAACACATGGAAATAATAAAATCCTAACTTGCTTATTCCTCCCTGAGGCAAAAGTTTGATTTGCTTTATTCTTCCTCAGTGTCTGCGTACCTCATTGTTTACCAGGTAACTGCAACGTATGATGTGCGGACAACTTTTTTCAATATTTTAAAATTATAAAACTTTGACATGAAAACACTTTTTTACTCAGTTGATTTTATTTCTCCCTCTGGTGTCAGGGATGTGATGCTGTTTTGTCAGGCAGCTGGAGACAAGTTAAAATAGCTCACCAAAGGGAGAGGAAATCATAAGGCAAAGGGAGATGATTCTGACGCAAGGAAAACCTCTCAATAAAATAAACATCTGGGGCCACAGGGGACAGGTAATCTGATGCCCTGCAGTAGCTTGTTATCAGTTGCAATTACTTCTTTTCCAGCACAGAAGTATTCAAACTTCCCCCAAATCCAATCCAGTCTCTGTTTTACTTTTAGATTTCAAAACTTAAATCACAGTTATTAACCAATAAACAAACAAAATGTATTATACGAAACAGCTCTGAATTCAGTCCTGCAATAGGGTACTGGAAATCAGTCTTAAGAAGCAGCATCACATTGTTCACAAAAGAGAGGCTACTGGCAGTAGGAGTAAATATGTTACATTTGTACACTATGGGCAAGTGTGTATAGAAGTCATTCATTTCTGCTTTCCACCTTTCTCCCCAATACGAATCTACAAAGTCAGTTTGTAGCCTGAAAGTCATATCTGGAAACTACTTTAATGAATACAAGTTTCTCCTGAGCCAGAAAAAAAAGGATTGCCTTCCTTTTCCTAACTTCCTAATCCTTTTCACTCCCCAGTTGCCCAGTGTGGTATCAAAAGGAGACTAGATTTATCTCCAAGCCACTCCAATAAACTCCAACAAAAGACAGCACCTTATCAAGGCACTTAGAGTCTCCCTGACTTATAAAATTTTTGTCTTAAAAATATGTCATTATATTTTTTCAGCACAAAAGAAAACCATATTTAGATAAAAGCCTTATTTAAGTAGCCACACGTATAATAAACACACATGTCCTTCCTTTTCTGTGAATTTAGTACGTGCTCCAGCCAGCCATTCTATTCTCAACACCTGTGAAGACTTTTTTGTAAATGTAATGAGTTACATTGTAAGGAATATGTCAAATCATACATTGAAAATGAAGCTTGGATTGCATCTGCCTTGTAATTTTACCCAGCAGATATGTACTCATGTTCACCTGGCTTTATTTTCGTGTGTGTGTGTGTG
The DNA here is from genome assembly GCF_000001405.40 of Homo sapiens. Classification (NCBI taxonomy): domain Eukaryota; kingdom Metazoa; phylum Chordata; class Mammalia; order Primates; family Hominidae; genus Homo; species Homo sapiens. The sequence continues at coordinate 37,593,765 of NC_000015.10, forward strand.
TGTGTGTGTGTGTGTGTATGTAATATTTTTATTTTAAGTATACTTGCTACGAGAATCCCTGATGCCTTGTTCTCACTGTAAGTCTTTATTATAGTAATATATTCTGTAAAACAAAAAAACTGATGAGAAGATGGGGTTGGAGGAATTGGAAATAAAATCCCTGTTCTTAATTGTTCCTTCACAACTGGCTTCTTAGCCACCAAAGGTTTGGGTGATTCTGTCAGGCTTGGGTTGTTTGCTGCCTGTCTCTGCCAGCTGCTGCAATGGTGATTTCATATCCTAGACTTCTTTGTTGACAGACAGGTACATGCTGCTATTATGCACTGTATCTGACGGGTTTTTCTATAGAAAAGTAAAGAAAGTAAGTTAGGAGCACAGGCAGCTTCACTGCTCCTGCACCAAACCAACAACACTTTGGATAATGATACTTGTCATCTGCTTAAAGTAACAAGTAATTCAGTTCCCATATGTTTATATGAAATTAATCATATAAGGGACTGCTTTCTGGCCCAGGTTCATTTAACTTTATAAAACGTAGCTACTTCCAACTGGGAGATCTTGAAAACAGCCCTACAATGAATCAGACAAAAACAGTGAGCTCAGCTTAGCAGGGAAGTTAGCAGGAAGGCAGAGGTTATGTCTACAGACACATATAAATGTACACATACATGTTAGTTTTCAATGATTGTTTCTGATCTATGGCACCAAGTGCCAAATGCTGCTGTAATTTGAGGTGCAGTTATTCACTCTGTATGTCTTTCTCCTGCTTAAGTTTTAAAGGCTGATTCAAGCGTCAGCTGAGGTGTTTCATCAGCACTAACCCATCCCCTTGTGAAAGGCTATGGCCATATGTAGGACAGGATGCTCAAGGCACAACAACGGAGCTCACTCTGCAGAGAACCACAGAGCACTAGGTAGCAGCTAGATTCTCTCATATTTATGAACATGTCTCTGCTTCTGAAAAAAGAAAATGAAACAATTATTTCCCCCTACCTCCCACTCTCCTGTTTGAGTTGGTTTTCATAGTGATTTTTTTTTTGTAAAGAGAATCTGTTCTCTCATTTTGAATATATATTTGACACATCCTTAAAAAATATTTTTGAATTTTAGGATTTTCCTTTCTCTTTGTTAAGGCTCCAGCATTTCCCCTCAGTCCTATAGATAAGAATAATAGAACATTAGATATGAAAGGGCCTCAGAGAGCTTCTAAGGAGCCTAACAGCTTCATTTTGCAAATGAGGAAATTGAGTTCAAGAGAAGGAATGGTGAGCCCAAGTTCACGTTGTCAATTCCTAGCAAAATAACAAGAATGACAACTAGGTCTCATGACTCTAAGGCTGGGACAGTTTTCCCTGAGCACTGCTTCTGGGTGCCCCACATTAAAAAAAAAAATCATGCAGTTGCTTTGATTCTCAGGTTCCTTCACGATTTTTAAAGAGCAAACCCATCTTTAATTTTCAATGTATCTTGAACATGATATGTACACCCAGCAGGTATTTAAGAAATGTTGGGTGAAATAAAGTGTCGAGACCTCTATGAAAGATTTTTTTCTTCATATAATGAAAAAAAAAAAAAACAGAATACAAAAAATTCAAGGAAAAGAAAAAATTCAAGGAAAACTGCCATCTGTAAAATAATTCTTTTTCCCAGCCTTGACCCTGGGCATGTATGATTGGCCCTCCTAGCTTCTTGCTTACCCTCTGAACTTGGTATCACTATTAAATCCTTTCTCTCTGCTTAACTCTGGGGTGGTGTAATATTTCAGCATCCCATTTGCAGAGGTGGAAGATTTAAGAATAAACATTGATCTCTAGACAACATAGCAAGTCACTGTGACTGCTGCAAGTGTGGCAAGACAATTCCCATCTTACTCTCTAGAACGCACAACTGCTTTAGTTTATAAACATCCATAGGACCACGGAGTGTTGCTTTTCCTCTGTTTACGAATGCTTTATGCAACAGCAAAGCACTTCTAATCCTGCTGCTTTTGTGTGAAACTATGCAGAAAGATTGCCTGGCACGTGTGGAATATAAGACAGATTATTTTAATACAGCATGGCAGTCAGAAGCATTCATTTTGTTTAGTCTGTGTGGTATTTGGGGGACATTCCCATCAGGGAGGCACTGTTTGAATGCATATTGTAACACAGTATGTTCCAGTAAATTGGGAGCAAATGTTCAACCTTCAAAACCATAGGGTCAAAAAACTCTGTGGGCTCATTGTTAAGAATATATTTAAGATATATTTAAGATTTATTTAAGATATACAAACCAGGAAAAATATCATGTAAATAATTAAAGTGTAAGTGCAATTATTTTATTAATATGAGAATTTTTATTAATATGAGTATTTGAGAATTAGGTCAAATTTAAAAACCCTATATAGTTAGAATGTGTTATTTTCTGTATTCTTAGTTTGAACTGCAGATTTTTTTTCCCCTTTGAAAGAATTCCAGTTATTACCAAGTAAAAGATGCAAGGGCACTTAATGACAAACATTTTAACTTCAAAGCCAAAAAGTAGATCAAAATAGAAAAGAAACTGGGTTTCAATGAATCATTTCACCGACTAATACAAGCTCTGCCGAGGATGCATCAGGTCCTAAAGGAAAACTTTGAAATAATCAATGTGACTGACACTCAAGGGTAACAAACCCTTCATTTTTGATACAGTTGAGAATTTTTTGATTGTCAAAAGAACACACTTCATGTGTCTCCAAAAATAACATGCGATACCTTAATATAACATCCAAAAAGCTTATTTCATTTTTATGTGCTGTATGTTATTATTATGTTAATATTAATATTAAAAATGCAATAAAACACTAATCAAGGTTTCATTCCCAACAAGTCATCATTAAATAAATGCCACATTCTTGATTGCACTAAGGCCAATTAAATCTAATTTCTCTTCTGTTTCCATACATAGGCTGCAGCTGTATGTGCAATCCAGGGGTAATTAATTGCCACCAACTGCCTCTCTCTAAAAAGGAGAGTGTCTGAAATTGGTGGCACCACATGTGTCCCTGAGACCAAACATAGCCTAATGCTGTTTAGGATGTTCATGGTTCTTTAATTACCCAGAGTAAACTTTTTCTTTCTACAAACTGCCATGCATTTTGTCTGTCTCTTGTGCAGAGAACTACTCAGGGCTTTTTGGCTTCATAAACAAATTCAGACTACATAGAAAACCACAGGCAGGATAGAAAGGGTTACTCCCATCTCCACCCGCTGCAAGAACTAAACACAGCTTTTTAGTAGGTATCAGCTCCTACCAGGACATAAAATTCCAAACAGGTCAAAGTTTAAAAAAAAATAATTTTTCAACATTATTAGAAAACAACCTGCCACTTGGAGAATGTACTTGCAAAAGGAGAGGGAGTTATAGTTTTTATTATTTAACATTAAGTTTCAAAAGAAGCCTCAGGAGGTCTAATCACCGTTAAAATACACTCTAAATGGCAATGTCTGAAACTGTGCACAGGGACCCCTGCTCTAGATTTGTAGATTCTTGAAGTTGGAAGGAACCACAAGAAGTTAAACAACCATTCCCCTTCTCTTAGGGACAGAGTGTTTTAGCCTATTTCTAACCAATGTATATCAATTCTACTTTTAAAATCTCAGCAACAGAATATGCCGCTCTTGCTAACTAATCTGATATTTAATGATCCCATGATTTTTAAAAAATGCATTTAATCTCAATCCAACCTGCTGGACCAGTTTACTGGGAGAGCAGAAAACAGCTTGTTCCCAAACTCTAGATAAAAACCCTTTTAGAAGTAAAGGTGGTTATTCAGTCTAATTGCTCTCTTCTGCAAGCTACTTATCTCAATCCTTTAACTTTTTCTGTCCAAATTCTTGCACTGCTCTTCATTTATAGCAGCTAAGTTGAAAACAGCTCAGAAGCTGAGAGTACTGAACACAAAGGTTATTTTACATTCCCTAAACTAGACCATTTTTAGTAATCATAGTAGCTTTCTTGATTTTTCAATACTTATTTTGTTTTTCTATCAGCTAGCTCATCCACAATGAAAGCAAGAAAGGTTATTCCTGCCCTTAGAGAGAATTAGGCATCCCCTATCTCCTATGTGCAAGCTTAGCTTTCTTACCCAAGGGCACCTCCCCTTTCTGATGAATTTCTGACCATGCCTCATAATTTACCAAAGTCACCCTTAATTTGAATGCTAGCTTCCAGGGTCATCCTCAAGCTTGGGGTCAGTTTGTCTCTATTCCATCATTTTGAATACTTATAAAAGTATTAGACAACAAAGGTCCATGAGTGGCCTCTAAACAACTCCCCTAGGTTGAAGCTGATTCACTGATAACCACTCTTCAAACAGACCCTGCATTTAACCTGTTCATGCTGGTATTTTCAAATTCATCTGAATTTTCATATTACATGTACCTATACCCTCGATGAAACCCTATGATGATGTATTCACTGCAAAATGCCTGTGTGTATGTTTCTCTGCGGGTATATATAGTAAATTAAGAAGTCCTTCTGAGATCGGTAAAGCTGTGCCTGGGAATGCTATAGCATTTAACCACAGGTTTGATCCAACTTCCTTTGTAAATCACCTTGGGCCTGTGTTTTCTGAAATATGTACGTGAATTATTGCCTTATTTTCATATTGTGGGTATTGTTTATTATGGAAGGGCCATTAACCCTGTAAGATGCAGATAATCTTCCACTTGCTTGTCTACAGCAGAAGATCATTTACTGTCACACTGATTAAATATATTATGACAGCAAAGCTAGTAAAGTGCAAGGTATGGGCACGGGAAGAACATGCTTCATGCACCTTCTCTGCCAGCTCTCTGCAGAAGTTTCTGTATCTAATTTGATACTTTTCAAATAAAGAACATCACATTACCAGGAGCCATTTTACTCTCACATTCTCATATACATTGGTCTCCAGAGAAAACCCAGGTAAAGGATTTATATAAAAATTGTACTTACAAAGTAACACTAGTGATTAAGTTTATTATTAGTGTCCAGAGTATGTGTACTCTTGATGCCTGAAACACTGAATTCAAGGTTTCTCCTTTAGTACAAGCAATAAAACACATCTTGGGCTGATCTTCTCCTAGACAAGTGCTAAAATAATGGTATTCCCCAACTTACTTTTAAGCCTAAGACTACAAGGGAAGCTTCAACATGATACACAAGGGCGCAACCACATACACATGTACATATACATAAAGATACATTATAAATTACATTTTCTACATACTGTCTCTATACACACACAGAAGCTGCTATAATTTAGTTATTTACTATGTGCTACTAGTGCTGTAAAATGTCATTGTCTAAGAATACATTTGAGGCTTAAGTCAGCATTTTTATGATATCGTCTGCACTGGGAAAACATTAAAGGCTCAATATTTAATAAACATAATAAACATCCCCATGAAACAAATTGTTCATAAACTACCTGTTTAATTTTTCAGGGTTCCTGAACCACGTATTTTCTTATTAGTTGTGAGCCTGCTGGGTTGGAGGATAGATAGGGCCTGTCAGGGATAGAATATAATGTAGCGGTTTTATGAATTATTTCTGTGAGGAAAAGCCTATTACAGCTGACAAGAGGGTGATGATATTAGCCCATCATCATTCAGACGGCACCACCCTGCCCCCTTTCATCCGTCAGGCTCTTGTACAGGGGCTGTAAGCCACACCGTCTTTGCACAGCCAACACAAAGACAAATTTTACTCTTTTTGCGAGTCCATGAAACATTTAGTATTTCATTTTGAATCATGGCAGATGACAGAAACAAACGGCCTAATGAATCTCGCTTATTGTCTGTCCCTTGCAAATCTGAAGATGAGCTAAAAGTAAAATCTCTGTTTCTCTTCTTCTTTTTCTTTCTTCCTTCTTTTTTTATTCTTTTTTTTGGTACATTTATTCCTCCTGGACAGATCTCTGCTGCATTCTAAATAAATACTGTGGTTATAAAATTATTTTTATAAACAAGTTGTTTGATTTGGAAATCAATTCCACCACTCTTGGACAGCCCCTTTCACCATCATCTTCTATAGTCATCTTTGGGACAATATGCATTTTTACCCATTTGTTGCTCTATAAAACATACATACAACAGGAGGCAGGATCAGAAGGAAAAGTAACAGGAAAAATCTTAATGTATTTGGGGAAAATGACAACTACTCATCAAAGGTTAATATGAATTATATACTTTTTTGTTTTATTTAAAGGGATACTAATTGTCTGCCCAAATCCTCCAAAGTGCCAATTTGCAAATAATTTGGCTGAACTTACAAAGCTTTTAGGTTACCTTTCCTAGGTATATTTACTTTAAATATGGCGTGGGATTGTAAGGGATTTGTTGGGAGGGGCTGCTCTGAAATATAATGGAAAAGACTCCGAGAAATGATTCAACTCATCAATGGCATCATTCTCTTATTTGCCATTTGAAAGGCTCCTGGGCGGGACTGAACACAGGTAGTGCTGCTCTGATGGCCTGACAAATATCACCTATCAGGAGATTTCCTTCATGCTCTTTGCTGCCCTTTTTAAACGAGAGTCTTCTCTCCAGTGTTTGCTGGCCCTGTCAGCTGCATCACACTACATTGCCACGTGTTCCCAACAGCCCACAGCTCCCAGCCCGTGCCCTTTTATTATACATGCATGTTTTTAACAAAACACAAAGGCTTTGAGACATATGCATTTAACTTTGTAAAAATGGACAAGGAAACATTACAGAGTTGGGGCTAGAAATAGGAAAAATGTTAGGGGCTAGTAAGAGAAAAATTCCTCCTCTTGTTCTGGCATGCCTTGGCCTCTTTTCCCCCTTTTCTCTGTGACTCTGTAATGGCTTTTTCACAGCCATTAGAGTTGTCAAGTAAATTTTTCTTAGTTCAAGTATGTACAATTGATCCTGATAGATGTTAATAGCTCCCAAACTAAGGCAGAGTCTGCAGTCAACACACGGGAATAACAATTCTGTGGTTAAAATGAAAAAGGGAAGTTTGACAGTTAATGCCATAAGATAGGCCAGATGCACTCCAGGTCAAATTTCCTTCATTTTTTTTTTTGGAGTAAAAGTTGACCAATGATGCTCATAAGTCATACAACATGAATTATTTAGGTTTAAGTAATTATATAATGTTTTTACAGAATATAAAATGTGGCAAGCTACTTTTTAAAAATATATTTGTTTTATCTTACAATTTTTCTCAGACAACACACTACATGAAATTTTGGTTTTAATATTAGTGCTGTGAATTTTTCTAACAGAATTCTTGCTAGTTTTTTATAATTATGATGTTAGGAAATACTGTACCAATGTACTTCTATCACTTTTATTATGCTTTTGCATTACTGGTTCCAAAGCAACATTTGCTTCTTCCAATGAGCAAGCATTTTAGAGCTGATAGTTACTTATTTCATAAATATCTAAAGAGTAAGAAGTTCTTTCAATCCAAATACACCAGAAATTGAAATCAAAGGAAGAATGTCAGTTGCTCAGACAGGAAATGTGTAGGGCTTACAGTTTTTAGCGCTGTGTTCTTCTGCATTACCCAATGCCTTTTGTGGCCTCTCCTCGTCAGTCTCTGAGCCCATCCTAAGTATCAGGCTGAATGAAAAATTTTTTTAATTATAAGAATAAATGATAAATACCTTATACTTCTTCCTGCATATTATTAGGCAAAGGGGAAAAAGTTGGTTGACTAAAGGAAATATATACCAACTTCCTTTCAAATATATAACAAACTAACCCAAAAAGAACTAAAAAAGAGTGAAAGAGACATATTTGCCCCCATAAACTTACCTTGTTTCTTAAAAGACTGAATATGTAAAGCAATGCTTAATAGGGTCATAGTGAAAGAAAGCTCTGAGCAACCAAATCAGTATCTTCTGGTTTCCATGGTGTTGCTATCAAGGCAAATATGTTTGCTTCTAACTTTGGTGTACTTTCTAGTTAAACAGTGAAGGCCAATTTTCTAATGTTATTAAAGGGTATCTCTTTAAACTTCCTAGAAACACTTACATGTTGAAAATGGTGCAACATTTTATTAAAGATTGATGTAATATTGCAGAATTATCAAGCAACTGAAGTTGGATGGAGGAAAATGAGAAGTAAGGCACAATATTTGTGTATACTTATTAACAGAGAAAGGAACATTGGCCAGCTAATATTAGGTGGAACCATATAAAACTGCTGCTTTTGTAGGTCAGAAATGGTTGAATATCAGCAATTTCATATGGTTCAACCTAATTAGATACAGCATTTGTATTAAGCCCAAGTTGCACATTTCTTTTAGGAAAAGAAGCACATAAAATTGTTCAATGATATCTTGGTGCCTGATGAGGGGTAGTTATTACTTCCAAAGTCAGCATAAAATTTCATTAAAAGAATTCCATACCAGTACAGTTTAAGGGAACCTTCCAGGAGATAACTTGTTTAGCTGGCAGTATTATTTCAACTCTTCCCATTCCTTAGAGGAGCAGCTCCTACTTCCGTTATGAAAGTAGACATGGTTCTTTTCTTCCAGTGTCACATTCTTGGATCCACAGAAATTGTCAAGAAAAGCTTTAAAATAACAGTATGGAGACACTAAACGATGATGGGGCCTCATTCTTCATTGCATGAGCTTGTGACCAGTAGACACACAGAGCCTCACACTCAGAAACCACCCCACTCTGGTGCTTAATGCTTTGTAGTCACTAACTTCAGATTGTTAATAATTTAATCTTTAATAATAATTTTATCTTTGATTTTGTTTTGTTAGTGAAGTTCGATGGAATAATAAAGGTTGTACCAGGGGCTTGGAGACTCAGCTTATATACAGCCAGTAGCCCTATTTAAATGCATTTGTAACACCTGTGTGAGAAAGCGGACGTGCCAGAGAAAGCTGAAGAAGATAGTGTGGAATCTGGAAGATGTGTGTGAGGGGAGAGAGAGAGAGAGAGAGAGAGAGAGAGAGATGAATTAAAAAAATACCAATTTCAGAAATAAAATAGAACGCTCTAATATCAAATTAAAGCTCAATTTGTTCTCTTTCTTGCCGATATTGAATCCAAATGCAGATTATTTCAGCACAAAATAGCTGAGAATGTGTCAGAGGTACTACAATAAACTTTAGGTTCCAAAAAGGTTGAGAAAATCTGAGAAAGGCAGAAAAATCAGGAGGAGAAGCTGGAATCCGGAACAAGAAACTTTTGTACAATTTTAGGTCCTGTAAGTAATGTGGAAGACACTCAAAAAATTGAGCTTTTGCCAATGTTAGAAGATTCCATTTAATATGCATGGATTGTTATAACACTTTTTCTTATTATTTTCTGCTAAATAATTTCATTTTCCTATAACCATGTACGGAGAATGATAATTGGGTATTCCAAACATATCGCAAGGCAGCTATTTCCAGGAGTGTGGGTAGAATAGATACACAAGTAAAAGTAACTTCTCATTTTTGTTGAAAGGCTGTTTCTGACACTAGGATCCTGTGTTTATTTGGTGCTAAGGTAAAATTCAACTCTTTCTTTCGACATCTAAAGCCTGGATGCATGTCTTAATTTTCAATATATACTGTCTTTTAATTTTAGATTTATTGTTATGTACATTTATTCCATCCCTTGAATTGCTAACTTCTTTGAGAACATAATCTCTTGAGCATATTAGTTTGCTTAGAGTAGGCACCCAATCAAGTTGTTAACTGATAAATTAATGAAGATTAAAGTCAACACGGGAGAACTTTTTATCTGCGATCTAATTTTTGATTGCTAAATAGTCACCACTGTGCTGTTTGTGAACGACTTCTTCCATCTACTTGAGATTTCTCCCTTCTCTTTATTACCACTTTAAATCCTTCCAGTTGCCAAGCCACAGATCAAAAGCAAAGTCCTACATGAGGCTTTCTCCAGTTCTCCCATGGAAATTTCTCTGTCTCTTTGTACTCTCTCAGCGGATTGAGTTTCTGTTAGAGGAGTAATCACACTGTGCCACATTCCATCCTGTTGAAACGAGCACTACAGAAAGCCAGTTACTCAAACCCTAAACCCAGTTAAACATAGGTCGCCCACACCTATACACACACATTATCTTTCTTTCTTACTTCAATCATAATCTACTCCATTTTCCAACATAGAAACACCAGTTTTAGGCCGGGCGCAGTGGTGGCTCACACTTGTAATCCCAGCATTTTGGGACGCCGAGGTAGGCGGATCACGAGGTCAGGAGATCGAGTCCATCCTGGCTAACACAGTGAAACCCCATCTCTACTAAAAATACAAAAAATTAGCAGGGCGTGGTGGTGGGCACCTGTACTCCCAGCTACTCGGGAAGCTGAGACAGGAGATTGGCGCGAACCCGGGAGGGGGAGCTTGCAGTGAGCCGAGATCACGCCACCGCACTCCAGCCTGGGAGACAGTGAGACTCCCGTCTCAAAAAAAAAAAAAAAGAAACACCAATTTTATTATTTCCAACAAGTCAGGGCTATAAAATAGATGAGTAAGATTTACAACATGGTAGTATTATTTAATATATGCTAATTTGTAAACCAGTTAAAATTATTATTCCCAAAGTATATAATTACTGTTTCCATAGGAAATTAAGAATAAACATAAATTCCATACTTAAAACAAACTGACACTCGGTGACCAAAGTGTCCAGAAAACAAAGAAAATTCTATTGTATTGGAACAATAGGCAGAATTACAGCAACAGCTTGTTAGAACTAAGGCAAGCAATATCAACTTTCTCAAGATAAATGGAGTCAGCGTTTGGATATTCCAGAAAATCCCAAATTTTGAAATAATTAATACTTTGTCTACATCTTCACCTTTAAATACGTTGTTCCCTTTATCTTCAGTGCCTGACACGGCTGTTCATACTTTGTGACCCAGTTCATTAGTTCCTTTTATCTATTACTTTGCGTTTTACACCATAGTCATTAACAGGCTGATCTTTACTGAACTGGGAGATCCTCCAGAGCAGCGGTGCTATCTGTTTTTTATTCCTTCTTTTCTAACCATCGGTACAGTACCTCACATAGGGTCAATACATGATGGTTGGGCAGATAGATTTTTAAAATATTTTAAAATAAAGATTAGGACATTTGTTAACCAATTTTTATGCTTTGAACTATATTGGACTGAGATGGATTAATATAAGTTAGGAATTGGAGAAAAATCAAACCAAGCAGGACATATTATAATTAGTTAGAAATTTATAAATTAAAAAGGAACTGAAGGTGTATTTTGTGGAACATATCAGATACCCAAAAGGCATAACAAATATTATAATGGATACTGATGTATCAAACTTAAGAAATGAAACATTATTTATATGGTTGAATGTCCCTGTGTAACCACATGTATCCCATTCTTTCTTCTCCCTCTACCTCCCGAGTAATCAGTCTGTTAAATTGGGTTAACATCTCCACACATATTTTACACTTCACTATATGTTTTCATCTCTAGTGATAGCATATTTTGGAAAAATCAAAGATTAAACGAAATTATCCTTTTTCTGTTACTTCTTTCAACTAAGCAATATGTTTTTGAGGGTTATTCATGATGATAAATATTCCTCTTTATTCATTTAAATCACTATATGTTGATCCATTTTTAACATACTGTTCTCTTTTTGATAGACATTTGGCTGTTTCTTATTAGTCTGTGTTATTTTCAACATTCTTGCATTCATCTTGATGTACAAGAGTTTCTCGTGTATATACTTAAGATTCTTAATTTTGTTATTATTGAACTTATTATTATTTTCTTTAGAATTTTTTCTTTCTATCACTCTTAAGAGATAAAATTCTTTATCCTGAGGTAAATATATCTTATTTTTTAAATTTTCAAAATTTTAATTTTTTAAAAAAATTCAAAATTTTTAAGTTCTTGATTTCTCTAAGGTTGATTTTTGTGTATACTATGAGATAAATAATTTTTTCAAATAAAAAATATTTTTTATTTTTAGTGACAGCAATATTTACTGAATATATTTTCCTTTCTTCATTGATCTCAATGAAAGCTATATCCATAAATGCATGTGTTTTCATTTATAAAAAGGTTCCTTGACTGTCTATTTTGTTCCATTGATCCATTTTCCATCCCTACACCAATACCACTACACTGTGTTAATAATTTTCCTTTATAAGTCTTGATATTTAATAGGACAAATCTTCCTGCCAATGCTTCTTTAGAGATGTCTTTGCAATTTTTAGCCTTTTATTCTTCCACATAAATTATTCAATGAGTTCATTATTTAGAAAGGTGAATAAATATATTAGAACTTGAAATGATGTTGCTTTTAAGTGTTGGATCAGTTTTGGAAGGACATATATTTTCATGAATATTGAGCCTTCCATCAATGAACATGGCATATCTCCTCACTTTCTGTTGATCAATTACCTATTATAGTTTTGTTCCTAACAGCTTTACCACATCCTTTTTAAAATTTATTTTTAGATAACTTATATTTTTAGTTAGTAATTTAAGTGACTTTTTAGGGTACATTTTTGTAATTGGTTGTTATTTGCATGCAAAACTGTAAGTGGCTTTTGTGTATTGGGCTTATATCTAACAACCTTTGAATAATTTTTCAAATAGCAAGTATTCAGGTTCTGGCAATAGGGCTGACTTAGAGCACCAAGGGACCCTTTAACTGCAAAATAATTGAGGTTTGAAAAGCTACACTATTTGAGAAATCTCTGACTCAAAAAAGGTAAATCCTTAGTTTCTAAGGATCCCTCCATTCCAAAAACCATAAATAATAAAAGCAGAAAAGCAAACCAACAAAACTATCAAAGCTTACACCACGATACAGAGCACTGGAATTCTCATATACTGTTGCTTGGAAGGCAAGTTGCTGATTTAAATTTTTAGATTACCTTGGAAAATTATTTGATATTTTCTCTCAAAGGTAATCCATTAAATACCTTACAACAGATAAATTCTATTTCTAGGTATCTGCCTGTGATGAAGTTTTATGCACATGTTCCAGAAGATATACATGAATGTCAATAGCCTTATTAATAATAGTAAAAAGCTGGAAAATGTAGAAATTTTTCATTAAGATAGTATAGATATATTATGGCTATCATACAGCAGTAAAGGAAAGAAACAGGTACATACAACAATAAGGATACATGCTGAGTTAAAAAAGCAAGTCTAAGAAGATAAAGATAACTTAGAATACCACTTTTATAGAACCCTCCCCCAAAAAAAGCAAACAATATAAATATATTGTTTATATTTATATAACAATATAAATTGTTTTTTATATATTGTCTTTATATAACAATATAAAGAGCTAGTATTTCTGAAACAATTCCATATTTTAAAAAAATGGAATAATAAACACGAAATTTAGGATAGTGGTATCTTTGAGGAAAGAGTCACAGTTATAAGACAGGCAAGGAACATGTAGGTAGATGAAAATTACTGGTAATGTCCTATTTCTTGGGCTAAGTATTGGGCTTATGAGTCGTTGTATCCTTATGCTTTATTAATAATATTTGCATAGCATATAAATCTTTTGTGTATGCAAAAACATTGATATAATAAAAATAAAATGAATAAAGATATAAAACACTCATCTATTCATTTAGCAAATACTTATTAAATACCTACTAGTGTTAGAAAGCACCCTATGTACCAGATATTAAACCATACCAATAATACCACTGGTATTATATGTGACAGAAGAAAACTCTTGTATTTATAGACCATGCATTCTAGTAGATTCAGCTAAACTAACTTAGTGCAATAGAACTTATGAAATTAACCTACTTACAAAGTTGCCTGTAGGAGAAATAAAGTCAATGTTTTTCACTTAAAAATGACCAATAATCTGGACAAAACGAGGTGACAAAAAATTAATAGATCAAATCTCTTCAACATAGTCATCTTATTTCACCCTTTCCATACAAAGTAGAGCCTCAGGGATGGCCAAAGTGTTTGGTTTGAAAGGCAAACTGAACAAATGATTGTTTTAGCTGCTTAAATAATTTATTTTCTATTTAATGCTTCACAAATGTGAAAAAGAATTGATGTTTTTCACCTCTGAATATTCAATACTCTTTAGGTGCAGATATGGACTGAGCATATCGTAATTGTAGATAATAAACTTTTGCCTATTCCTTTAGAAACAATGTGAACCCTCAACCAAATAAACACTTGTCCATATTAACCATATACTATCCCAAAGGGAAGAATCTGGAGGTTATCACTTTCAGGGTGTTAATGTTAAGCACTCAGTCAGCTAAGAACTGCAGAGAAATTACTAATCAGAAAAATATCTAATATGGCTACAAAATGTGTTACTTTTAGTTTGCAATAATAATGAATGTTTCTAGATAGCAAGGCTGTCCTCCTATATAAATAGGAGTGAGAAGAGGGTTAAAGAAACACAGTCAAGTACAAAAACTTCAAGTGGTCCTTAAGTTTGACTATAAAAACAAAAAGATAGTATTTGCTGCCACCTGAGTAAAGTTTTGTAATTTAATTTTAGATTAAGTTACAGCATTTATTGAGCTAAACTAAAAAGTTTCCAGCACTAATCCAAGATAGAGTATTTGGCACTAAATTTTCTAAGGTATATTTACAAAACAAAAGATTTCTAGTAAACTCAGAAGATACCTCAAAAATGGCAAAACAAATGTTAAAAAAATCAGCGAATGTCATCTTAATGTAATATCGCTAGTCTAATAACAGCCATTAGTTTTCTTTTTTTAACCTGAATTAATAAATAGGTTTATATCATCTTGGCATGAATCTAAACAGATTTCAGAAAATCACTGATCTAAAATAAACTGGAACCAGGGAATCCTGAACAAAAGACAACACAATTTTTTTTATTCATAAAGCTTAGTAGAGAGTTGCATGCACTGAAACAGTACAAAACATGCAAAAATTAAAGAAGGCTGTTTTTTCTGTCCAAAACTTTCAGACTGTAAAAATTGAGGTGTAGACCAAAGCAAAGTCAATTATCTGTCATGGAAATTAGTTCAGAATCAGATAGTTATGAAAAATAAGGAAACAAAAGTAGAGTCCATAGCCAGAATAAATTTTTAAAAAACTGTATGTTTATCATAGTACCTGGCACCTAGCAATCACTCAGTAAATGGGTTAAGCATAGAGGTAGCAGTGTTCTTGTTCCTGATTAATTTAGAATTGATGATCTTTAAGGTTACTGTCATCACTTCTGGATGCCTCTCAAATCACCAAACAATATGTAGATTATAATATATTTAACCAGTAGGGTCTGATTTGTTATAATGAGTTCAGAACTGATTAATTTAAATAAAAGAGAGAAATAATACAAGTAAAACCTACGTTTGCACATCATTGTCAAATGAATATTTAAATGAGAAAAAGAGACATTTTGGAAATACCCTGAGAAAACTCCCTTTCTGAGGAAAAAAAATTAGTGGGCAAAATCATGGTAAAGTTTTCTAAAAGTAATCCACGTTTTATAATAAACTCTCTTCAGATACCTAAGAAATCCCCTCTTACTTCCATATGTTAATATATTCTTTGAATATAAAATCCAAATTAAAAACTAATTCTTAATAGAAAGCTTTTGTTAAAAGCAACATTTTGAAATGCTGTCAGTAACTATCATAAATATTTGAGAAGTTAATATTTTAATCTTCAACTATAGCACAGAAAACACTTTTAGTGACAGACAGTGCTTCATTAATGGAGTTCTGTGTGTCTAATTGCTTTAGGCACAGTGAGCTGCATTATTTTGACACATGACATGCAATTAGTACATGGTCACACGGCTAACGGGAGATTTTACACCTTTTTTCCTTCTACATTCAGAGTGAATAATTAGCATATTTTTTCTGCTTAGAATAATAATCAGAGCCTTAGATCCAGAAATTGCCTAATGAGGTAAAATTCCAGTTGTTGACATTAATACATGTGACACATTTTTTCAGTTGTTAAAGTAAACCTTGTGATACCACTTCATTTACCCTTTCCCAAGTGACCTTATGAGTCAGGAGTTATGTTGTTCTTAGCATCAAATTGTTGAGAAGAAAGACCCCAATAGATGTTTTATACCATTATTTCCCTGCTCCTCACACAGTAGGTGCCAAATAAATACTGCTGACAAAATCTAAAAGGGTAACTTCTGGTATCTTCCATTGTCATTAAAATATTATCAAGATTCAAAGTAGAAATAAACTATGAAGACACTATATGCTACTTTGGAGAGTTCTTAGAATTTAAAAAGTGGATTATTTTATAATACCAAATTAGATCCAAACAGAAGTTTTTATCAAAATGTTAATTTTATTTAAAAATATTTAAGATTAATGAAAAACTCACCCAATATTTCCCTAGAGCAGAGGCAGTTTTTTTTTTTTTTTTTTTTTTTTTTTTTGAGACGGAGTCTCGCTCTGTTGCCCAGGCTGGAGTGGAGCAGAGGCAGATTTTACGCAAAGTTAGTATAGCGTTAAGTGTCAAAGTCCATCAACTAAATAGACCCTCCAAGGGGAATATTGTATTTCTAATAATTTTATCTTCATAATTTTGTATTATTTTCCTTAAAAAGTCCTCACCCAAGTTGCCTATGATTTAGGCCCCACAAAATTTAGATCTGTCCCTGGTAAACATCATCATGCTGCCAGAATATAAGCTGTTAGATCCCTCAAATGTGACGTATATGCACCTGGTGAAATATTTTTTCACCTGTTCATTTTCACTGTAAAATGATAGAAATTGGTTAAAATAGATACATAGAACATTAGAAAAACTATGTAATATCTAAAAATTAAAGAATTATTATTCCTACCTCCTCTGTGAACTGTGCCATACAAAACAGGTATTCATTAATTTAATGGCTTTCCAGGCTATTTTCTCACCTCTCACACTATTGGCTTACATTACTTGAGACAAATCATTTTCTTTAATTTAAAGATTGAAATAGGGTAATTGCCTGGCTTCTTTCATATTTTAACAATTTTTATTTCTAACGTAAATCTGTAAAACAACTATCTGAAAGTTTATATTAGTTGTTTTGACTTTATAGGGGTCAACGACTGCCGCATTTTAAAATTTGATTAATTAACATTTCAGAATTTAAAGATAGGACAATTTCATCTTGTATAATTTAAACTAATTTTTAAATATAATTTTCATTTTTTACTTCTGTTATTCACTTGGCTTTTACTCAAATAAACCATCTTCATATGGAGCCATGGGACTGAGCACATAATTTTCATTTTTTGAACATCTTTCAAGAAAGAAAAATAATACTTTCAGGTATTATTGAATTCTTTATTACTTTTGCACCAACGTACTCAAATTATATTAATTTACTAATCTCCCCTTTAATAAAGAAGACTTTTCTAAATGTTTACTGAAGAAAAGGAGGCTGTAAAGTAACATTTTGGACTATCTCCACTCTGAATATTGCGTCCCTACATCCATCCGTTTAAAAACATCCCCTCAACATAGTGAATCTCCTAGGCTAAAATAAACAGAGCTTTTAGTCACGGTACATATATCACCCACTCTATTGGGACCCCTTCATTTATCATTCTTTTTTGTCTCCTTAACGATACAATTTTATTTATCCAACAAATTTTATTGAGTGACCATATATCAGAATCAGTTCTTCTTCTGAATGGAATTCTGCTGAATAAATTTCCAGATACTACCAAGAGCCTTTTAAAAACTTTTTCTTATTATTTATTTTTTTCAAATATTTTTATTGTACAATACATATAAAATGTACTATCTTAACCACTTTTAAGTGTACAATTCAGTGGTATTAAGCATACTCATATTCATGTACGACCATCACCACCATTCATCATCAGAACTATTTTCATCTTCCAAAACTGAAACTCTATGCCCGTTAAACCATAACTCCTTATCTCTCCTCTCCCCCCAGCTCCTGAAAACCACCATTCCACATTTTGTCTTTATAATTTTGACTACTCTAGGTATCTCATATAAGTGGAATTATATATCATTTGTCTTTTTCATTACTGGCTGTTCCACTTAACATATGTCCTCAAAGATCATCCATATTGTAGCATATGTGACAATTTCCTTTCTTTTTATAAGGGCTGAATAATATTTCATTGTGTATATATATTCGATTGTACATTCCATTGTGTGTGTGTAGTGTGTGTGTATATATATGTGTGTGTGCGTGTGTATATATATATATATATATATATTTTATATATATATATATATATATTCCTTTTGCTTAACTATTCATCTGTGGATGGATACATGGGTTGCTTCACATTTTAGCTATTTTGAATGATGCTGCTATGCATATGGGTATACAACTATTTCTTCAAGACCCTTTCAATTGTTTTATGTATATACAAATTTAACATGGCCGAAAACAGAAGTGAAATTGTTAGATCCTATGGTAAATCTATTTTTAATTTTTTGAGGAACTGTCATACACTGTTCCCTGGAACAGCTGTACCATTTTACATTCTCATCAACAGTGTACAAGGGTTCCAATGTTTTCATTTCTTACCAAGACTTGTTATTTTCTGGGTTTTGTTTTTTTGTTTTATTTTTATATAGCCATCCTAATGGGTCTGAGCTGGTATCACATTGTAGTTTTGACTTGCATTTCCTTAGTTGTAACTGATGTTGAGCATCTTTTCATATGTTTATGGCCATTTGTATATCATTTGTATAACATTTGAAAAATGTTTATTCAAATCCTTTGTCCACTTTCGAATTGGGTTGTTTGTTTGTGTTGTTGTTATTGTCGTTACTAATAGCCTTTTAAAATTAAATTTTCTCTTTAGGAGCCTATTGCTTCCTAATTGATCCTTAAAACAGTGGACCATTTCACATTGTCTTTCGTGTAGAGATTCACAGCTTTGAAAATGCATTCCCAGAAGTTACTTCATTTGAGCATTATAACCTAGTAAGAGAAGCAAACTCATTTTATTACATGCACTTGAAAGAATCTCGAAAACATCTTGGAAAGTGCCTAGACAGACCCCTAGACTCCTAGATGAGTTCATCTACAAAATCATGCCATTCATTCACAATTGTTCTGAATTTTCTCTTTCAATGTTTTGCTTTTTGGAAAGAAATCAGGGAACTGATTAAAACATTTCATTCTCTTTCCTCTTTTATCTCACACATGCCAAGCCAAAAGGACTTCAGAGGAACTCATTTTATATTTCACCTTCTGTCAGACATAGTATCCATCAGCTTCTAATATACCTAGTTATGGCAATTTTCTTCTGGGCCACTGATTGTTTCCTCTCAGTGTCTTTAGCTGACTTTGGCTCCTCTGCTCCAACTCTAAATATTTGAGCATTTCTAGAGTTTTATCCTGAGTTCCCTTTGTCTTCTCACCTGCTCACTTTTTCTAGGTACACTCACCCTCTTTGATGGTTTTAAATGGCTACATGCCAATGATTCCCTCATCCACATCTTTAGCCTCAAACATGCACCAGAACTCCATGGTCATTTAAACAACTGTATTCACAACATTTTCACATGGCTAATAGGCATCCTAAACATGGTCAAATTTAGCATGGCTCACAACAAAGCTCTTTGGAATGCAGCCCTCCAGAAAATTAGATCCTTTCTCCAGAATCCCCATCTCAGTAGATGGCAGCCCCATCTACCCAATTGCTTAAGCCAACAATCTGAAAGACTACCTTTGAATTTACCCTTCAATGTATCTCGATTTCCTTGCCCACCTCATATCTATCAAAAAATATACCTTGGATAGTCTATTCTCTATTTCTTTACTACTACCACCATGTCTCACCTGACCTACTACCATCACCTCCTAACTGGTCTTGGCCCTTACAAATCATTTCCCAAACAGCAGATATTTGCCATTTTCAAACTTAAATCATGTTACTCTATGCTTAAGATCTTCAAGTGATTTCCTACTGCAATTAAAAAATAATAAAATCCAAGCTCTTTACACTGAATTGCAAAGTCCTACATAAAAAGATGTTTCCTTCATCTTTCCTTTCTGTCTTGTCCCAATCTTAATGGCATTCTCTCAATTTCTTGAGCACATCAGTATGTTTCTCATTTTTGGACATTTCATCATCCGCTACCTTGATTACTCTTCACCCTGATCTTTTATGACTGGCTCTTTCTTGTCATCTAGATGTTATCTTAAATATTATATCAAAAAGATCTCCTCTTACTAACCACTCAATCTCAAATAGCCAATTAATTTCTATAATATAATCTTATATTATCCCTCTGAATAGGATTTATCCCTAGCTGATCTATTGTATGTTTATTTGTTTAATTTATCTCTAACCCTGAGAAGAATATAAGCTCCATGAAGACATTATCACTTGTGCTCACCATTGTATCATCAGCATACAGCAAATAATAAGTACTCACAAATAGTTGAATAAACAGATTTAAATTCTCCAAAAAATCTTCTGGAATCCCTAGATCTTGTTGATTTACCTGGGACTTCTGATAGCCTATTTTATGACCTTTCTCAAGATGAAATGCAAGGTGCCTAAAAAGACAGTCTTCCAAAGTCACATTACCAATGTTAAACACTTGTTAAAAAAATAACTAGAATCCAAGTCGTATAATTAGGCCACAAACAGCTGAACTCAGTTCTAAATATCCTCAAGTCAGAAATAACATTGATTCCTCTATTAAAGAAGAATTGATTCCTTTAAAAGAAATAAATTTTAGGTAATTGGTAAATAGACTGCTGGCAACAAGAGGAACCAACTTAGGAAACTAAAGAACTATTTTGGCCCAGTGCCTTACTTGTGTAAATTTGATTTGGTTTTTTTACCTTACCTAGTTTCTACTTCAGGTGACAAAATAGTTTAAGAAAAAGATAATCACATTTAATATAAAAAGAAAATTATTAACACATTCGACATAATGATATCATTTTTGTAAACTCAATTAAATCTCTTAGAAATATGAAGCCCTGTAAAGTACTATTTAATTTTAATGTGAGAAATGTACAACAAATGATATTAAATGAGACTCTTTCTCTCATTTCAGAGTTTCAGAAGAGACCCAGAGGTCAAGACAATCGGTGTGAAATATTCTACATATTATGGGGAAGCATGACCATCATTGAAAAACTAGGAAAGAGGTGAACCAAATGGTTTTTCAGCATCAATCTATCACCAGCCTCTCAGCTTAACAAAAATGAGAAAAACTTATCAAAGTCTAGAATTGGAGGGCAAAGTAATCAGTCTAACCTCTCCTAAAAATACAACTAGAAAAGCAAGAAAAAGTATGAAAAAGTAAAATCTGTTTGCAAGTATCATAGAGTAACAAAATGCTGAAGACTCACCAGCCTAGGTTCTAGGGAAGACAAAAGCTTAGAGAAGTGAGTTACTCAGGACAACACTACCAATTTGGGATCACTCTTGGGATCTGTACTAAATCCAGAGCGTGACTCTAAATGGCTAAAATACTGAGCCCTAGTTTTTATGGCTTCCATGGGCTAGAATAAAAAAAAAATTGATGTTCAACTGCCAGCAGGAAGGTAGTGCTGGTGATTCAGAAGTAATAGGGTAAGCTGCAAGTAGAAAGATTATTACAGGTACTGCAGCTCAGCTTTGAGTTATCTCCATTGCTAAACTTGGACTATGGTGAGTCCATACTGATAGGGTCACCAGTTGCCTGACATAAACAAACAAGACTCCTCTATGTAGGAAAGCATAGGTTAGTGCAAAAGTAATTGTGGTTTTTGCCATTTAAAGTAATGGCTTTACATTATTTCTACAAACAACTCTGCAAACATAAGGTCTAGCACATTAAATAAATAAACAAACAGATACAAAGAGCCAACTCAACACAAATAAAGCCAGAAAAAAACAACAGACAATAAAACCTACCCAAATGGAAAATGGAGTTGGAGTTATCCTACATAGAATTTATAACAGCTATATTTATGATGTTCAAGGATATAAAAGAAAAAAATTTAAAAAATCATCAGAAACCTCAAAATATACAGAAGAATAAAATGGAAATTCTGGAACTTAAACATATAAAAATACATATATAATAACCCAAATAAGAACTCAACAGATAGGTTAACACTGGACAGTTATTGCTGTAAAAAACTATTAGGAAACTGGAGCATATGTCAGAAGAAAATATACAAGGTGAAACAAGAAAAGACAAAAGAAAGAAAAATACAGAAAATAGTGTATGTGACATTGATTATACCATAGAAAATACTAAGATACTGGAATCCAAAAAGGTGTGGGAGAGAATGAGGAAGAAGTAATACTTGAAAAGCTAATAGCTGTGAACTTTCTAATACTGCTGAAAGACTTCAAGCCACAGATGCAAAAAGTGTTATAGGATTAAAAAGAAACTGGGTGCCTGCTACAGATTGAACATTCCTAATCTGAAAATCAGAAATCGTAAATGCTTCAAAATCCAAAACTTTCTGAGTGCCAACATTATGCCACATTTATAAAATTTCACACCTGGCCTTACATGATGGGTTGCAGTCTAAACTCAGGCACACAACACACAGTTTATTCAGTGTCTCCAAGGGAAAAAAGACCTTCCCAGGTCTCTTCAGCTGCAATGTATCTTTTCCTTACATGCTCAGATTTCCCTACAGAAGCACACCCACAAAGTGTCATAAAATGACACTAATAAAGACCAGATGGACCAATGGCAGGTTCCCCACGATGACTTACATGAACAAGACCTACATGCATTACTCACTGTGGTTTTTTTGTTTGTTTGCTTAGTCTCTGTTCTATGGTATAGGTATTGTTAAAAATGTTCAAAAGGCTGGCACTGTTGGTAACAGTGATAAGAAACAGAGGAAACATTTATCATTACCTATAGCACAGAAAGTCAAGCTTCTGGAGAAACTAGACAGCAGTGTGAAAGAAGAGTATGGTGTTCAAATAACCATCATATATGAACTGAAGAAACAAAAGGATAGACTGATGAAGTTTTATGCTGAAGGTGATAAACAGAAGTCAATGGAAAATATAAAAACACTGCATAGGCCAGGCATGGTGGCTCGTGCCTGTAATCCCAGCATTTTGAGAGGCCAAGGTGGGTGGATCACTTGAGGTCAGGAGTTCAAGACCAGCCTGACCAACATGGTGAAACCCCATCTCTACAAAAAATACAAAAGTTAGCTGGGTGATAGGGGCACACACCTGTAATCCCAGCTACTTGGGAGGCTAAGACAGGAGAATTGCTTGAGCTTGGTATGTGGAGGTTGCAGTGAGCCGAGATCACACCACTATACTCCAGTCTGGGCTACAGAGTGAGATCCTGTCAAAAAAAAAAAAAAAAAAGGAAGGAAGGAAAGAAAGAAAAGAAAGACAGAGAGAAAGAGAGAAAGAGAGAGAGAGAAAGAAAGAGAGAGAGAGAGAGAGAAAGAAAGAAAGAAAAAAAGAAAGAAAGAAAGAAAGAGAAAGAAAGAAAGAGAAAGAAAGAAAGAAAGAAAGAAAGAAAGAAAGAAAGAAAGAAAGAAAGAAAGAAAAGAAAGTGCATAAAGCTAAAACTGAAAATCGCAATCATATGTTGAAAGAGTGGATCCATCAGAGTCTCAGTAAACACATGCTACTTCATGGTATGCTGATAATGAAACAAGCAAATATCTACCAGGATGAACTGAAAAATTGAAGGGAACTGTGAATACTCAACAGGCTGATTGCAGAAATTTAAGAAAATACATGGCATTAAATTTTTAAAGATTTGTGGTAATAAAGTATCTGCTAGTCATGAAACAGTAGAGAAATTCATTGATGACTTTGCCAGCATTATCCCTGGTGAAAATCTGACAGTAGAACAAGTATATAATGCTGATGAAAGATCACTGTTTTGGTATTATTGCCACAGAAAGACAATGATAACAGATGATGTCCTATAGGAATTCAGGATGCCAAGGACAAAATAACTGTGCTGGGATGTGCTATTGCAGCAGGCACACGTTAAATGTAACTTTCTGTGACAGGAAAAAGCTTTGTGTCCTTGCCTTTTTCAAGGAATGACTTCCTTACCACCTGCGGTTGTTATGCTAACTAAAACCATGGATCATCGGGGACATATTTTCTCTTCTTTTTGTAATTAATTTTTTTCCATGCATCATCCCTTTATTTTTTTTCAACTTTTATTTTGGATTTAGGGGGCACATGTGCAGTTTTGTTACATGGGTATATTGTGCGACGCTGAGGTTTGGGTCATGGATCATCCCGTAACCCAGTTAGTGAGCATTGTACCCTATACATAGTTTCTCAACCCACGGCCCCCTCCTTCCCTCCCAACTCTTGTAGTCCCATACCCAGTATCTATTCTTCTCATCTTTTTATCTATGTGTACTCAATTTTTAGCTCCCACCTATAAGTGAGAACCTGAGGTATTTGTTTTTCTGTTCTTCAGTTAATTTACTTAGGATAATGGCCTCCGGCTCCATCCATGTTGCTGCAAAGGACATGATTTCATTCTTTTTTATGGCTACAAAGTATTCCATGGTGGTATATGTGCCACATTTTCATTATTCAATCCACCATTGAGGGATACATAGGTTGATTCCATGTCTTTTCTATTGTGGATAGCACTGCAACGAAAATATGCCTATATGTGTCTTTTTGGTAGAATAATTTATATTCCCTTGGGTATATACACAGTAATGGTATTGCAGGATCAAATGGTAGTTCTCTTTTATAAATCTCCAAACTGCTTTCACAGTGGCTGAACAAATTTGCATTCCCACAAACAGTGTGGAAGCATTCCCTTTTCTCTGCAGTCTTGCCCTTTTTGACTTTTTAATAACAGCCATTCTGACTGGTGTGAGATAGTATCTCATTGTGGTTTTGATTTGCATTGCTCTGATGCATTTCTTCTGATGATTAGTAATGATGAGCATTTTTTATATGTTTGTTGGCAACTTATGTCTTCTTTTGAGAAGAGTCTATCCATGCCTTTGGCCATTTTTTAATGTTTTTGTTTGTTTTGTTTTCTTGCTTTTAAGTTCCTTGTAGATTCTGGATATAAGATCTTTGTCAGATACATAGTTTGCAAGTATTTTCTCCCATTCTGTAGGCTGCCTGTTGACTCTGTTAATATTTTTTTCTTCTTGTTTCCGGTGGGGTTGGAGCTGTTAATTTTTTTTTAATTATTATACTTTAAGTTCTAGGTACATGTGAACAACGTGCAGGTTTGATACATAGGTATATATGTGCCATGTTGGTTTGCTGCACCCATCAACTCGTCATTTACATTAGGTATTTCTCCTAATGCTAACCCCCAGTCCCCCACCCCCCAAGAGGCCCCAGTGTGTGATGTTCCCCGCCCTGTGCCCAAGTGTTATCATTATTCAATTCCCACCTATGAGTGAGAACATGTGGCGTTTGGTTTTCGGTCCTTGTGATAGTTTGCTGAGAATGTGGCACATATACACCATGGAATACTATACAGCCATAAAAAAGGATGAGTTCATGTCCTTTGCAGGGACATGGATGAAGATGGAGCTGTTAATTTTTCATTTTAATTTTTTGCTATGCAGAAGCTCTTTAGATTTACTAGGCTCCACTTATCAATTTTTTATTGCAATTGCTTTTGAGGACTTAGCCATAAATTCTTTGCCAAAGCTGATGTTGAGAAGGGTATTTCCTAAGTTTTCTTCTAGAATTTTTAAAGTTTGAGGTCTTACATTTGAATCTCTAGACCATCTTGAGTTCATTTTTGTACATGGTGAAAGTTAGGGGTCCAGTTTCATTCTTCTGCCTATGGCTAGCCACTTGTCACAGCACCATTTATTGAAGAGGGAGTCAGGGCATCTTTTCTAATTAGTTTCACAAACATTTTGTACCAATGACTCATGGTCACTGCAGGGAAACTGGACTAGATAATGAATGCAAGATTTTGTTATCCTTGACAACTATTCTGCTCATTCTCCAACTAAAATGGTCATAAAAATAATGTTTATGCGATGTACTTTCCCCAAATGTGACTTCATTAATTCACTCAGATACCAGTATATCCTTAGATCAGTGAAGAGTAAATATAAAAACACTCTCTTAAACAGCATGCTAATAACAGCACAGAGGTGTGGGTGTGGAAGGTTTTCAAAAGGAAGTTAGCATGAATGATACCATCTATGCTGTTGTCAATGCTTGGAATACAGTGACGAATGACCCAGTTTTATGCAGGCCAGGCACAAGTCCTGCCTTGTGACTATGTTCAGTGATGATGTTAAATAAAGTGGTGACTTTGAAGGATTCCATATGTCAAATGCAAAAAAATATCTGACCTTCCTACATATGCAAAATATACTTTCAGAGTCTCTCAGTAAGCTGGAAGAAGTGGATATCAAAGAGTTTTTTAACATTGATAATGAGACTTCAGATTTTCATTCATTAATCAATAAGGAAATAGCCAAAGTGATTCTGAATTAAGGTGATTGTGATAATAGCGAAGATGAAGATGATGTTTTTAACACCACAGCCAAGTGCTCATAAATGACATGGTTAAAATGTGTGATGGGCTTGTAGAAGGACTAGAGCAGTATTCACTCATAACAGAAAAAGAAATAACGTCAGCTTATAAAAACAAAGAGAGGGCCAGGCGCAGTGGCTCATGCCTGTAATCCCAGCACTTTGGGAGGCCAAGGTGGGCGGATCACCTGAAGTCGGGAGTTCAAGACCAGCCTGACCAACATAGAGAAACCCCGTCTCTACTAAAAATACAAAGTTAGCTGGGCGTGGTGGCACATGCCTGTAATCCCAGCTACTCAGGAGGCTGAGGCAGGAGAATCGCTTGAACTCCGGAGGCAGAGGTTATGGTGAACCGAGAGCATGCCACTGTACTCCAGCCTGGGCAACAAGAGTGAAACTCCATCTCAAAAAAAATGAAAAATAAAATAAAAGAGATACTTCTGAGACAAAAAACATTGTTAAGGCATATGGAGAAGACATTTTTAACTTTGTTTTGTTTTGTTTTGTTTTGTTTTTTTGAGACGGAGTCTCGCTCTGTAGCCCAGGCTGGAGTGCAGTGGCGTGATCTCAACTCACTGCAACCTCTGCCTCCTGGGTCCCAATTAAGCAATTCTTCTGCCTCAATTCTCAATTGCCCAGTTCTCAATTCTCAATTCTCAATTGCCCAGTTAAGCAATTCTTCTGCCTCAGCCTCCCAAGTAGCTGGGATTACAGGCATGTGGACCATAACCAGCTAATTTTTGTATTTTTAGTAGAGACAGGGTTTCACCATGTTGGCTAGGTTGGTCTTGAACTCCTGACCTCATGATCTGCCGCCCTGGCCTCCCAAAGTGCTGGGATTACAGGCATGAGCCACCGCACCCGGCCAAGAAAACATTTTTAAATGCCATCCACAATGGTTGAACTAGTTTACAGTCCCACCAACAGTGTAAAAGTGTTCCTATTTCTCCACATCCTCTCCAGCACCTGTTGTTTCCTGACTTTTTAATGATTGCCATTCTAACTGGTGTGAGATGGTATATCATTGTGGTTTTGATTTGCATTTCTCTGATGGCCAGTGATGAGCATTTTTTCATGTGTTTTTTGGCTGCATAAATGTCTTCTTTTAAGAGGTGTCTGTTCATGTCCTTTGCCCACTTTTTCATGGTGTTGTTTGTTTTTTCTTGTAAATTTGTTTGAGTTCATTGTAGATTCTGGATATTAGCCCTTTGTCAGATGAGTAGGTTGTGAAAATTTTCTCCCATTTTATAGGTTGCCTGTTCACTCTGATGGTAGTTTCTTTTGCTGTGCAGAAGCTCTTTAGTTTAATTAGATCCCATTTATCAATTTTGGCTTTTGTTGCCATTGCTTTTGCTGTTTTAGACATGAAGTCCTTGCCCATGCATAGTTCAACCATTGTGGAAGTCAGTGTGGTGATTCCTCAGGGATCTAGAACTAGAAATACCATTTGACCCAGCCATCCCATTACTGGGTATATACCCAAAGGATTATAAATCATGCTGCTATAAAGACACATGCACACGTATGTTTATTGAGGCACTATTCACAATAGCAAAGACTTGGAACCAATCCAAATGTCCAACAATGATAGACTGGACTAAGAAAATGTGGCACATATACACCATGGAATACTATGCAGCCATAAAAAAGGATGAGTTCATGTCCTTTGTAGGGACATGGATGAAATTGGAAATCATCATTCTCAGTAAACTATCGCAAGGACAAAAAACCAAACACCGCATGTTCTCACTCATAGGTGGGAATTGAACGATGGGAACACATGGACACAGGAAGGGGAACATCACACTCTGGGGACTGTTGTGGGGTGGGGGGAGGCGGGAGGGATGGCATTAGGAGATATAACTAATGCTAAATGACGAGTTGATGGGTGCAGCACACCAGCATGGCACATGTATACATATGTAACTAACATGTACATTGTGCACATGTACCCTAAAACTTAAAATATAATAATAATAAAAAATAAAAAATAAAAAAATAAAAATAAAAGCCATCCAGCATAATGCCTCTTTATCCCTAGAGGGCCCACTTTCTGGTCCCTCAACTGCTTCTGATGTTTCTTCCCATCAAAAAAAAAGGGTTCTGTAACCTTTTAATAGCTGATCCAGGTATTCTGATGATGTCACTGTGCTGCTTAGTTAACCTGAACACATTATTTTTTTCTGTACTAATGGTATGTCATATTTTTTACTGTTAAGTATTTATGCATGAGTAAGAGTAAGAAAATGATTACTTATTAGTAGCACATAAATTCAGTTGGGAATAATGATGATGACAAACAACCACATGGATGGCTGAGACAATGACACCGTTGCTTTCTGATGGTTCAGTGTACACAAACTTTGTTTCGTGCACAAAATTATTTAAAATATTGTTTAAAATTACCTTCAGACTATGTGCATAGAGTGTATATGAAACAAATAAATTTTGTGGTTAGACTTGGGTTTCATCTTCAAGAGATCTCATTACATATATGCAAATATCAAAAAAAATCCAAATCTGAAACATTTCTGGTTTCAAACATTTCAGATAAAGAATACTCAACGTGTAGTAAAGTTATTTGTGAAAACTATTGAAAATGAAAAGCATTTTTAAAAAAGTACTCTCTGCTATTCTTTAGGTAAATGGGTAATTATCCACGATGGAAGCTGAGAGATCCAAGGAAAAGTATTAAAAGTTTAAAGGTTTGGGTAAATATAAATTAACACTGATGGCTTAATACAATAGTAATTACTTATTTTTGTACTCATTCATTTATATTTAAGACAAAGGCATGCAAGTCAGTAATAGGAAAATATGGTTAAGATATTTCAAAGTCTTTACACTGACCTTTAAAAAGGTTAAAAGTGCCCATTAATATTAGGTTTTCATAAACAATAATTCATGTTGTCATATTCAGAGAAACCATTAAAATATTAAACTTGTATACATTTCAAGCTAATAGGAGGGAAAATGGGACTAAAAAGAAACTCAAACCAGAAAGAACTCCAGTGAATGTGGAGCAAATAGAAAACATTTAGTATGATAATAGATTTAAACTCAAATATTTCAGTATGTATGCTGAAATATAGTCATGTGCTACATAACAGCGTTTCAGTCAATGATGAACTGCATATACAACAGTGATCCCACAAGATTGTAATACCATATTTTCACTGTACCTTTTCTATGTTCAGATATATTTAGGTACACAAATACTGATACTTTCCACTATGTTACAACTATTTACAGTATTCAGCACAGTAACATGCTGAACAGGTTTGTAGGCTAAGAGCAGCAAGATATACCAAATAGCCTAGGTGTGTAGCAGGCTATATTATCTAGGTTTGCTATTCAAACAAGAGCAAAATTGCCTAACAAGGCATTTCTTGGGAAGCATCTCTGTCATTGAGTGATACATGACAGTATACTAAAGGCTCCAGTTAAGAGGCAAAGATTGTCAGACTGAATTAAAAATAAATACCCATAGGGTAAATAAGAGATGTATCTAAAATATATGAGTATTAAAAAGGTGTGATTAGTCCATCAGTTACTAAGAAACAGCTTTCTTAGTTTCTTACTATGGTTTTGTATTTGTCTATTTCTTCTTGTAATTCTGCCAATTTTTGCTTTATATGTTTTGA
This sequence comes from Homo sapiens, assembly GCF_000001405.40. NCBI lineage: Eukaryota > Metazoa > Chordata > Mammalia > Primates > Hominidae > Homo > Homo sapiens. The sequence continues at coordinate 37,623,811 of NC_000015.10, forward strand.
CATTGTTTTATTAGACGCATACAAATTTGGAACTCTAACTACTCCCATCTCTAGTATTGCTTTTGCCTTAGACTACTTCACTTTACATTATTTTAGATATATCAGCTTTTCTTTTCATTTTTTTTATTTTTAAATTATAAAGGACATACATTGTCATTATTTAAAACTCAGATAACAGGTGTTTATTTTGAAGTTCGGTTTTGAAAATCTTTGCTGTGTTTCTTTGGTTAGGTTTGACACATGCACTGCTTAGTGGTGATCTCAGTATTCGTTTCAGTTCAAATAGAAAATGAAGGATGTCCTTCAGCTCTCTCCTGCCAGGATTTTCTGCCATTCTCTCTAGTTGTCAGAAGCCCCAGTTAAGAGGTTTCTAGTTCCCAATTCCTCTGATCAGGAAGATGAGATTATTTCAGAGTTTTAGCCTTCCTGCCTTCTCGTGCAGTTCCAAGCGACTGGGGTACAGTGGCAAAAAATGAGATAAACAATAACTGGGATTCTCCCCACATTCTTCTATGTCAGGAGCTCCTTTCCTAGCTCCCTTATCTGAGGTCACCTCTCAAAGTCGTGGATGCCTGTGCCACTGTGCATTTGGAGCTGACACAGGGGAAAGACATGGGACAGTAAAGAAAAAAAAAAACAGGGATTACAGGGGAGGATGGCTCATAAAGGGAATTTATCAAAGTCATCAAGGTGTGAATCAATTTTACATTGCCCATCTAGTACTGATCAGTTATGCTCAGGAGTAACTGGAAATCTTTCCAAATTTCTTGTGGCTGTCACCCATCCCATAAACTCTTATTTTGTCTTCATGGGTGGTCTTTACTACATTCCTAAAAATCTTAAGTTACTGATAACAAATGAATGGTAATGAGGAGAAAAAATCTAAATATAAGATCACTGACAAGAACAAAATATGAACATTGCTTATACATAAATATTCTAGGTGCATACGTGTAACTTATATGACATTAACATGCACAGAAAGACCTGTGAATCTGTTTATTTTTGACATTATTCTTGGTAATTTAGAGTTGGAGACTAATAACATTTTTCAGAAGTTAGTTTGCAATAACAAAAGCCAGGGATAACTTTTTACTTCTGCCTACTAAGAAGACATCTTCTCTATCTATGAATCAGAGGATCTTTTATTCAAATCTATTTGAGTTATATCCATCATCTCCAATAAATTGAAAATTTGTCTATAACAAATGTATATTCATGAGAGTAACAGTTACGGTTTCATTTTATTGCTCTATCATTATGGGATAAGTTTTCTTTAAATATGACTATTATTTCCATCATCTTTCTAATAGGAATCAGTATCATAAGTTTTCAAGTGACCTCAGTGGTCTTTTAAATATTTAAGAGTTGAGCACACTGATTTCTTTTGATTATCAAAAATTTCATCTGGGAGCACCTGGATCCAATTTGTCTATTACTGTTTTTATGATAAGGTGATGCTGAGCTATTGCACCCTGAAGAAGAAAATAATGAAATGTCTCTAATATTTTCAGTTGCATATCTCTGTCAGTATATTTTGGAAATACATTATTCTATTCTTGGAAATGTGAAAGTTCTGATAAGCAAAAGCTTTTCTTGATAAATTTGAAGTTACAATGAGACTATGATATTGAAATTTGACAGCAAGATACAGTCTTTTAAGCCAAGTCAATACATTGCAAATATACACTGATTACGTTATGATAACTGAATCTATCACAGCACTGCTAAGCTGTTATCAAGCAAGTAAATATTTTAAAAAATAATGAAAAAGAAGAAATTTAATCATACTACTAGGTACATTGTAAAGTAAGAGAATATTTAGTGTCATTATTGACTTCCTGTGTTTTGGGTGGGTGACAATTCTTGCTAAAATTAAAAACCCATGACTAAATTTCCTAAAGCCAGAAATATTTCAGGATTCTAAAGCTGTGCTGTCTAACTACATGTGTCTTTTTAAACTTTTGGAATGTGGCTAGTCAATGTTGAAAGATGCTGAAAATGTAAAATAGATACCAGATCTCAAACACTTAGTTTTCTATAAAGAATGTTAAACATCTCATTAACAATTTTTATGCTGATTATATGTTGAAATTGTGATATTTTGGAAATTTGGGGTTAAATAAACTATATTAAGGCACAAAACAGCAAGTAATTCCACATGTCTAAAGTTAGGAGATACTGAGTTATAAGTGGTAATTCATTTATTCAATTTATTCAAATAATATGTATTGAGGAAGTCTAGTGTATGTTTTACCAGCTCTAGCTCTAGATCTAAATTGGCTGTGTTGAATTCCTCTATGACTTACTAATCATGTGATCTTGGGGAATTTTTTTTAAAACATCTATAAGCCTCAATTTGCTTACATGTACACTGGGAAAGATTATGATAACAGTAATTACAATTTATAGAGTTGTTACAAAAATTAAATAAAGTAATCCACTTAAATTTCTTAGCATTGTCATATTCTCCAGCCAATGACCATTAAGAACACACTTGTAATTGAGTAAGTTGGGTTTCTTGCTTGTTATAGTGAAATAGAACGCACAACATGGGGAGCCATGGGCTCCTCAGTAAGAAGTGTTAAGGAAGACCTATCCTAGAATTTGGGCTTTGGTTGAAAGATTTAGGGGACGATCCAAGAAAGCAGAGTTTGGCTCTAGACAGGGGTGGTGTCAGGAAGTTGGGGGAATTCTATTACTGGGTATCTCAAAAATTATCCTCAGAGAAGGCAGGCTACAGCATGGCTAAAGTGGTAATTGGTTAAGTAGTGGCCACTCATATTAGCCAGGAGAGTGGTATTTTGCACAGTGATCTTGTTTTTGTCTGTGCTTAGACAAAGTTATGAAGTGGTCTTTTGTCTTATGGTCTCAGAGTGACCTTGTCTGATGTTAGGAAGATTATATATGCCCAATAGGAGAATATTATGGCCCAGCTGTAAGTGAGACCAACTCTCAGATTTCAAGGGCTGCTTTTTCTCATTATTATTGTTTCTTAGCATTGCATCTGATACATCGTAAGCATATTTGAAGTTACTTTGAGATATCAGATGGAGATGTCAAGTAAACAAAGGGTTTATCACTGTGCTCTCAGAAGCTATCATTTAATGGCCAGATAGAGGAGAGAGGCTGCAATGAAAAATGAAAAATAACCAGAGAGATGGAAGGAAAACAAGAAGAGTGTGATGTCACAAAGCTGAAATAAGGGAATCATTCCAGGAAGAAAAAAGTGGTGAATAACTCTCAGATATTGCTAAGAGGTTAAGGATTATGAGTTCTGAATATTGGAATTAGAAACAGGGAGGTCGATGGCATTGTTAGTGAGGATGAAAAATGCACAGGAGACAGACAATTGCTTACAAAGAGGGAAGTAAAATTAGGTTCCTGTTGGGCAAAGGAAGATTTACATTTTTTTAAACATAGAAATCGTGTTACATTTAAAAGTTCATGGGATAGCTCCAGTCGAGCAGAAGAGGTTAATTGGTAGGAAAAATTGGTGATGAAAGTTTCTAGAAAAAAAGCTGGCTGGAATAGAATCCAAAATACATGGTAGTAATCACGGGATCCATTGTCAGGTACGCTGTTGTCATTGTTGTTGTTTGCCTCATTTGAGGTATTAATGATAATTGTCTGGATAGGGTGAAATTATGGAATGATTCCAAACTTATAAATAACATAATTAGATTTGTATTTTAGAAGATAACAGCATAGTATGAAAGATAAATGGGAGGATTTCAAAACTGGAGGCATAGACATCATCTAGGAAGCTAGCCCAACAGTTCAGAAAAGAAAGGTATGGATTTGAACTACAGCAATATCAGTTGGGATAGAAGGAAAGACTATAAGAGTATTGGACTCTAGGAGAGGCACATGATACTATGTGGTCATCAATTACGTTTGAGTGTCATAGAGCAAATGAAATCGAATGTAGAGGATAAGTTCAAGATTTTAGAACTGAGTTACCAGGAAGAAGATGGTGCCTTTTCTTTGTAAGAACTACAAGAGAAAAAGCAGATTTGGACAGAACTACCAGGCAATGGAGAAGATTATGAGTTTGTTAATTCATCCATCTAGTCATTCAACTTAGATTTCTTAAAAACCTATTTTATGTCAGGAATCATACTAAACTCTGAGGAAACAGTCATGAACAAGACAGCCATGTTCTCTGCCCTGTTTGGTGCTTGCTTCTTTATTTGGGTCAGAGATAATTTTAAGATTTCTACATATATGTGTTAAATCAATCAGTTGGATAACCTAATGTAGGGTTCAGAAGAAAAATCTGGGTTGCCAATTTTATACATACACACACACACATATACATATATAATATATCTATGGAGAGAGAAAGAGAGAGAACATTGATGATAGTCTTAAAATATCTTCACATCGGCTAGCCTGAGTATAGTAGACTGTAATTAAGGAAGCTACATTTCTAAGATCTGTGGTTATTTTGGTGGTCAGATCACATTAACTATCAATCTGGCTTTTATATATAAATATACCACTTTATACTTATCCACATGGCTTAATTGATTGGCATTTCCCTTAGGGCTAGATGGAATTGGGTTTGAATTCTATCTCTGCCCCTCCAGATGTGAAAACACAAATCATCCAATATTTATTAAACCCTTACTCTATATCAGCTCTTGTGAAAGGCACTGAAGGGTATGGTTAATAATCTATTGTCCTTACCCTGGAGCAGCTTCTAGATTCTAGATTCCTGAAGCAGGTTCATTTTTATCTTTGCCAACATTAGGAATATAATATATTTCTCATCAGGTTATGGGGAATAAGTGAGGCAAGTATGTAGAGTGCCTGGCCTTATGCCTGACACATATTTATCTAGATCATGCTATAAAGTTAGCTAAAAAATGACATCATCTTTTAGGGTCACAATGTCACTAAAAGTGCATTCCTTAAAAAATTAGTGGATCCTTCCACTCCTGAGATTGCTAGTAAGTGTTCCCAATAGCATGCTATATTTATTGGCTTGTCTTTGAGGAATCTTAACAGTAGCTGAAATTTTCATGGATTGACTCTGCCGGGTAGAGACAACATTTTTTTTTCTAGGATATAGTTATGCCAAGCACCAATCTGGCATAAGCAATGAATGGCATGTGCTATGAGGTCATGCCCCACTGAGTCTTGATAAATTAGCCTTTTAACAAATTACTACTTATGTGCCTTGTGCAGTGCTTCCTTTAAAAGACTCCGGTACATAACGATTTAAACAATACTTTCGTTTGTGGAAGAAAGAAGGTAACTTAGGAAACAAAATAATTAAGGAAATAATTCAAAAGACAGAGATTCATAGAAAGTGGGTACCTGCCATACATTTTCACTGATGTTTGACAGTTAAGTGCAGTGCCTAACAAAGTTTTTGTACATCGATATTTATTACCAGCTGCTTATAAATTCCCAGCCCTTAAATACATATGTTACAAAGCCAAGGATACTTTGACTAGATATAGCACCTTAAGCACTACTGGGCAAAGTTCTTGTTGGTTTTCTGGAATCAGTGGCCTATCACGAAAGCCTAGAAAGTTTTCCTTGTAACTCTCCATATATTCATAGGTACGCTGCCCATGAATCCTCTGTGCAGTATTGCACAAAATGTATTCTAAAATCCTTAACCAGATTTATGTTAAAATCTTCTGTGAGGGCTGATCTATACAAGCCGTGATTCTCATAAGGAAGATTTTTTTTTTCCCCTAAAGGGATCAATGATCTAAGAAACTGAACTGTAGCTCTTGTGAGATTAATATTAGAAAGGGGTGAAGAGGGTGGGGGTGGTGCTGTAACTCCCATGTCCTAGTAAACTTAGCTTTCTTTAGAAAGAATACAGCCTCAAACTTTACTGTGCATTAACAAAGTGATTGACTCTAGGGAATATTCTAGAAGTATTTAGAGCTTTTTTGCTCACATGGAGCAATGGAGAAAATCACATTAAGCTGTAATAAAGCGTATAGGTATTTTAACCCTTTTTCCATCTGTCTTCCACCACATCTCTGGAAGTGGTATAATCTATTACCATTTCAATGCTTGACATCAATGGTGCAATGAGATACACACACCTATTTAGCACAAAGATTTCTTCCTGGGTATAGATTTAAATCCTTTTTAATACCAAATCCCAAGGTGCTAGGGGAAATTGTTATGAGCGAGATTTGACAATACATTGGTCATTTGGGGCTCAGTGGACTTTTCAGATGGGCTATGTCAACTTTACCTAATCCATGTGATTTTTCAATACTGCGAAATAAAAGGGGAAACGAAAACACAGACTTTAGAATTAGAAAAACCTAATTCACATTAAGACCTCTATCCCTACAGTCTTTGTGACATTCAGAAAATAATATAAACTTTTTGATCTTTGGTTTCTTTAAAAGATGTTCACAATAATGCCTTTGTAGAGTGTTTTTAAGGATTAAAAAGTATGTGCTAATACATAATAGATGTTCAATATGCTGGAGCCATTACCTTTAATTATAAATATAACGGCTTTCAAGCAAAGGGATCTTCTGAGATGCAATGGTGTAAGAAACAGCAACATTTCAAGTGCACTTCACATTAAAAAAGGATTCATGATTCTGTTTCCCTACATGGCAAAGGTGAAGGGATTTTGCATATGTAATGAACGGCCCAGATCAAGTTGACTTAAACTAATCAGAAGAGAGATTGTCTGACTTAATCAGTTTGAAGCCCTTTAACAGAGTGCTTAGACCTTCTCTGAGGTCCGATTCTCTTGTTGGCCCCAGAAAGAAAGCTTCTAGTCATGAGAGGTGTGTGGGAGGGTTACATTGGAAGGAACTGGGGTAACTTATAGGACCTGAGGGTGACCCCTGGCTACAGACAGCCAAACAAAAGGAGACCTTAGTCCTACAAGCGCCAAGAACAGATTTTTGCCAAAAATCATGTGCACTTGATCAGGGGCCTCAAGCTCTAGAAAGAAACACACCCTGTTCAATCCCTTGACTATAGTCCTCTGACTCCCACCCCACAAAAACTATGCCACAATAAATGAGTTTCTTGAAAGCTATTAGTTTTGTGGTAATTTGTTACACCACAGTAGAAAACGAATACGAAGTTGATCTTTCTCTAGTCTTCCAACAGGCTATTTACATGTTGGTTCAGGAGAAGATACTATCCAGTGATTTGAAAATCAGAGAAGAATGTGACTGGAATAAAATGTTTTCGAAAGCAAATCGTTGAAGCTGTGTAAAATTTTCAAACATTTAGGTAGAGTTATTGGCATGCAGTTTACAGACAGAAAATTTTTTAAGAGGGAAAAGAAACTTTACTTTCAATTCCATTAACAACCTACTCACCGTTATAAATAACTAACCAGTCCAAATTATAGTGGTTCTTAATTAAAGACACAGCAACTTGACCACTATCCTAATAAAATGGTTGAAGTGTTGGTAGACACTCAATTTAATTGGAAGAAGTGGCTCTATGTAACAGCATAAATAATGTAAATAATCTCATAGAACTAATTATAAGGGATAAGAAAATCTTAAGAGGGCTAATAATGTATTTAAATGCAAATCCTTGGATTTGATTAGCTGTTTTAACATTATACAACTTATTCTAGAGTCAGCCCCAGACATTTATGGTTTACAAGTATAAGCTAAAAATTTAATATCTAGATATTAAGAAGTCATAAGCTTTGGGAAAGAGGAAAATGAGAATTACCTTATATAATGGCCCATGTGAAACCTGTATATGTTTAAATGAATTAGGTAAATAGACCACATGATTACGCTATTTTTAGGTGTGAGTTTATGATAAAGATGAGGGAATTAATGGTTCAGTATCTTAAAATCCTCAAACAGCAAAGCAAGTTGTACTATCATTCTTAAAGTAAGACTGGGCTCACAACTATGAAGAAAAATAGGCTACAAAATCAGAGGCAAAAATGGCTCCTGATTAACTGGTAGAAATGAAAAATACACTTGTTTTCTTGTAAGACAAATACACATTTATCACTTCAGAGGACTTATGTAAATAAACTTGGTTCTGGAGGACTTGAAAATTTAAATGTAAATGTCTGTGTGTGTGTATGTGTATGAATGTGTATAGGCATAGGAATGGAAAGATGGAAAGGACTTACGAGGGAAAGCACTCAAGACTTTGTGCTCCTTCCCTAAGTAGATTTATAAGCTGTGTCAACCACATTCATTTAGTGTGAAGGTTATGGTTTGAAGTTTCCTAACTATTCTACTTTATTTCCAATTCAGGTCATCTTTTCAAGGAAAATCTTGAATGCTTATCAATGCTTATCCAGGGAAGATGAGAGTCTAACAGATAGAAAATGAACTCCATTTTCTGACTCTATCCAAAGTTTGAGAGCTGGTGTCATCAATTTGCAGTGTTGAGGGGCCGTATGAATATCTTGATGGCTACTACTCATAAGCTTGTCATCACTCTGAACTGTTGTATTTGGAAGAACATGAAAAGGTAATCTCCATCAATGTTGAGCAAATATTATAATATACATAGTTTCTCTGACTGATCAAATGAATGTTAAACTTCAATTAAAGCCCCTCTCTAAGATGGTATCTAATTTTCCGATTGCAACAGATAGTTTTGTGAACATGAGCAGGAGATTAATGCAGTTTTATCATCACTTTTTCTATTCAATAGTCAACTTAATTAAAAATTATTAATATGCAAGAACGTATGTTCATTACATAAAAACTAAAATACAAATAAGTGAAAATAACATAAGTTAGATATCCGTAATCCTCCACCCATTTTAGAAGGATGTTCTTGTCCTTTGTCTATGCAAAATATGTATCTATGTGTATATACATATCCTTTCCTTATATCACAGCTAACATAAAAATTAAGTTAAAAATGCTCTAAACAACACTGGATTTTATGGCAACCTAAGTTAGAAGGTGCAGCCAAGAGCCCCCATGGGTTCTCTCAACTGCAAGGGCAAGCCCATGATATAGAGTAGGATGTGGTGACATTTAACAACAACGTCTATATTTTAATGGATCCTAGCAATAAACATAATACTTGTCATATATTTAATAGATTAAATTTGTATCAGAATATATTGATTCCATACTTGTATACAAGACTTGCTTCAGGGTTTAACTGTATTCAGCATCAAATACCAGGCTAATAAAAACTGTAGCAGAAACAGTTTTATGACCCTCCATTGACTTGTGTTTTACATTATATTATCTTATTGTAGACATCTGAATTAAAGGTTAACAAACACTATTTAATGGGTTGTCTAGATGAATGTACAGTGCATGAATACATGCTCCTTGCAATTTCTATCAGTTTTAATACTTCACATGCTTTATGATTTGGGTAAAGATGCAACTGCAAGTGGGTGATGGCTCTTGACTGACTCTTTTAAATAATATGAAATAGCGTATTTTGTTACACTTCCTCCAATTAAGTGCATATCCAACATTAAAGCAATCTGTCATCATTTTAACAATGTCATTAACATCTACAGTATAGCTCACAGGGGCTTTGTTCTTCTTTCAAAATTAGTAGCACATACATTGATACAGAAAGCCTGAAATACAAAAACAAATTTAAGAAGCCTTCAACTCTAAGCTATACAAATATTTTTAAATGGATTATACAGAAAGTATGAATTTACTAATAAAGAACAGCCCACAGAAATTATATATCCATTAAAAGAGATTAATGACATAAAAGATAAATTTCTTTTCTTTCTAATGTAGCAATCAAGAAATATGGTTTACTGTACCGTTAAATGTACTTCAGCTAATGAAAATAATTTAAATTATTCAGCTATTGAAAGTAAAAATCAGTATATAAAATTTATAACATATATAAATGATTATCAGTCTAGAAATATTTTAGAGAAAATTTAATTCATAAAAATAATATGTTAAGTATTTAATAGAGAAGGTAAAATTTTATTAGCAAATTTAAATTGTAATATTTAACTATAAATTGAAAAAATACATCTTATTTACTGCTATGGCTTCAGTAAATAATAATTCACATTAATAATAAATAATTCACATTAATAATTCACATTGATAATAAATGCAAGGAGAAAGTTTAAGTTCACTAAATACAGTGGAGGTTCTTCTCCTTATGTATATTTTTTTCTACCTATAGTCATACAAAAGTATATACATTGTATACATTAGAAACTGAAATCTGTTTACCGTCAACTAAAGTCAACACGTACAAAACTCTTCATTTAATAACACTTTCCTCATTAATAATTAGTTTATAAATAAAATATCAAATGAAACCTAACTAGGAGGAGAGAGACAGTTGTTACTATTATTATTATTATTATTTTGAGACAGGGTCACACTCTGTTGTCCAGGCTGGAGAGCAGTGATGAGTTCATGGCTCACTGCAACCTTGACTTCCCCAGTCTCAGGTGATCCTCCCACCTCAGCCTCCTGAGTAGCTGGAACTACACACATGCACCGTCACACTCGGCTAATTTTTTGCAACCATTCTGCAACCTCCTTTAACTCTTATTTCTTCCAAGAATTCTGCCTTTTTTCGAATTCTCCCCATCAGAAGTGACTCAAAATTCATATGCAGTAGAACCAAAATTCCTAATGTTGCTTAAAAGATAAACCTGAGACATTAACATATACTACATCAGATTAGGACCAAAGAGGATTTAAGGTTGGGAACAAAATACTATATAAATAGGCAAGGATAATCCATTTTTAGATTTAAAGGAATATTAACTAAAACCAAATTTGCGCTTTTCTCCAGTGGAAGTTTTTAAGACAGAGTAATACATTTTTGGAAAGCTTTTCTCTAAAGAATAAGTGATACTCCACCCAAATGACACCAATTATTTCACTTCATCCTCTATTACAATTATTTTTCCCCTAAAACAAAAGAAATCTGAACCACAGAGAAATAAATTTGCTAAGTTCCAATACAGAATGGGATGGAATTTAAACTCAGATTCATGTATTTCAAGAACCAGGTTCTTTCCACTCCATTACACTGCCTTACGAGGTAGCAGAGGAGGTATCCCCGTCATATCCAAGGTAAAAACCTAGCATAGTATGTCTAACATTTATTATAAATAAATAGTCACATACAGTGTACACCTGCCTAACAAAGAAAATATCCTTAACTGGGGTTAAATTATAGGTTTCCTCTTTTCATTTATAATGTTTTGGGAAACAATGATTTTTTTTACCTCATTAGAATAATCAAATTACTGTCTTAAACATTTTTCAATGGCTAGAGGAAAAAAATATGATGAGCAGAATTCATTTATAAATCTGTCTGAAAGCAAGAGATAGACCATAAAATTGAATGAGATACTTTACTGACTTAAGATCAATATTTTCCTTATCTGTAGAGTAAATCTTATATTTAGAGAATAGCTTCATTCACAATTTTTAATGTCATTGAATTAAGATAATTAAAATTTTAAATATACACATATTTTTCATGGTTCCAAAACCACCTAGAGACAGTTTTATTAGGTTATTCTGGTTAATTCACTGACTGACTGAAACCCGTGGGTATTAAGATAAACTTTAGCTTTAATTAAACCTTCTTTAGCTTTAAGTGAAGTTTTTTTCATTGAGAAGTTCATCATACCTAGAAATCTGCATAACCATTTATTCATTTACTTATTTATTCAACAACAACCTTTAAATATGACATAGACCATGTCCTCTGATAGAGGCAAAAGATTTAGAACAGAACACTAAGAATGTAGCATGTATGGTTCTTGCCTTCTAAGAGTTTATTTCACTGTCTAGTCTTAAGAACTGAGCTGGGAGAAGATAATTAAACAAGTCACACCAACATTATATAATGAACATTTTCATAGACAAAGTACAGGTGGATATGTGAGCCCTTAATAGGAAATATAACTTAGTCTAAAGAGTCAACGAAGCTTTCTTAAGGTAGAAACATATTAGCTAAGGAGCTGAAAAATGATTATAGTGATGCTGATGGGGTGAGGGAAATTGACGTAGACTAAGTGGAAATCCAGAGAGACAGTGAAATTGCACACAATCTTTTTTTCTGTAATGGCCTTGATAAATACCACTCATTAGGCCCTATCTCTTGAAGAATGATCAAAGTATTTTGTGGATTTCAGTGGAATTACCATTGTATATATAGAAGCCCTGCCTGAACAGCATTCTGAACTTGATTCACAGCCTGAACTTTGATTCTACAATGTATGCTCTTCAAACTAAGATTGAGCATAGCTGTCAATACTAAGTAATTTATGATCACCTTTAAAGAATCAAGGATCTGGTTCTATTGAATGACATGCCAAGTACGTGATAGCACAAGGTATTATGGCTAATGCAAATAATTATTTTTCTTGTGAGTTTAATTAAGAGTCTTTATATTGATGTAATTAAAACTTCAGTGACGTTTGAAATGCATCACCCAAATAAAATACCTTAAGATTTGCCCAAACAAGATTTGTAAGAGATCTAAGTAATTAAAAATTTCATTCTTTTATTCCATATGTTATTTCCCTGAAGAAATCAAAGTCTATATGTAAATAAATATATGGCCGTATTATTAATAAGTATTTCATTATTTTCATGGACAAAATTGTTCACTAACAGCACATCAACATCAGATGTAGGAGCAAATGGTTTAAATTTAAGAGTTCCCATTGCCCATTATCTGTCTGTTAGGAATTATAGGTTCCAATATAACCAATTCCATGTTAATCACATGCTTTATAATGAGATTGTTTGCTATCCCCAGCCTTCAGCCACACTGATTCAGCCCCTCAGCATACTCACTAAGATGATGTTTTTCGTACCTACTGCTTTGATACCTAGTACAGCGTAATTTCTAAAAAGCAAATGAGGAAGTGTATTACTTATTGTTAAGTTTGTCCTATAGATGTTCTCTCTGCATATAACTGGTGACATGTGCAGGTATCCCACAGAGGATAAAGAAATTATTAGCATAGGGAAAGAGCCCCTCAGTCCTCAGCAATCTAAATCAGATTCTACCTTCATGCCATCCTAGAACAAATGAGTGAGTATTAGATATTGCTTACAATATTAGATTATTAAACTCATTTTAAAATTACTAATTGAGATATTGATATAAACATACATGAATATATATGAATGATGCATAAAATTGTCAACTCAGCAAAGGTACATAATCTCTATTTTGTTTAGGAAATTGAGGCTTAATAAGTTACTTGATTTTTTAAAATGAGTAACCAAAAAAACCCAAAACACGACAAGCTTCCAAAATACTATCCTGAGTCCTATAGATTCTGAGAAACTCCTGCCTGTATTTGAAGAGATCAACAGAAAAAGAAATCTCAATAGTAACTTTGCAACACTGCCTTTTACCCCTGCACACTCAAGCTCTGGCTATAAGGAAATATTTGCATCATAATATTATGGAAACATAGTAAAGTCATCATAAGGTGGTTTTATTGAAGAAGCAGTTTTCTCGAAGAAAATAGAAATGAAAGAACAGATGTACAATAAAAATAAACTGCATACTTTATTTGTTCCTATTCTGATTGCCCACATGGTCTGCTATAAGAATATGTCACTAGTTTCTGTTCTGGTTCCCTCAGAGCGCATCACTAAACTAAATTATTATATCCAGTGGCTATTTTTAATGTAAGGAATCCACAGACAGCAGTTGGAAATTTTAGTCCTGAACTCATAATTTATTTTCTTGTAATATTTGTGACCACTCAAAAGCCCAATCATAATTTCTGCTTCATACAATATTCACTTCCAAATCTTTTTCACATCTATGAACTATATTTATCTTCATGACTCTGGTAAGTAATTGAGGTTATCTCTGCTTTACAAATAGGGAAACTAAGTCACAGGTGAATGTAACCCATTTAAGTGAACAGACTTGCAGAAAAAATAGTAACTTAAACATGATTAGCTGTCCCTGGTCCACTTTCCAAATTGTCTTGAAATGACTACCCATGCATGCAAATAGGAAAAAGACTGTATCAGCCATGGAAACAGTCCATGAGGCATCATGCACCAGAATTCCTGAGGTGTCTGCTACCACAAACAGTGAAAGAAGGGCCAACTCAGCTCATAATCTCTATGAAACACCTGAAAAGTGAATGGGATGGAATCCCAGCCGAAATTCACAAAAATCTTTAAATTGGGTGAGGACCACTGGCAGATCAAGAAAAGAAAACACACAGACAAAAACGCACACAAAGAAAACAAAGCAATAATAGGAATTTCTAAATTTAAAGAGAAACACAGAGCAAACAGAAGGGAGGAGGAAGAGGAGAAAAACAAGAAGAAATTTTCTGAACTGAAGAAATATTGGAACCTGTGAGTTGAAAGAAAGAATACACCAAATACTAAGAGTTTGGATGGGGTGCCCATTGTCCTCCTGAATCACAAAGAAAACAAAATAATCATGTAATGAGAAATGAAACTATGAGTTGGTTCATAGGGCTGATTTGAGAACCTGACTTAAATCTTAGACCACAAGAGTTTCCTAGTAGTTTAATCCTGAGTCAGACAGACATACCCACCCAAGTCACTAGCAAGGCTGTGCAACTGCAGCTCTCCAACACAGGGTCTGGTAGCTGACCACAGAGGTCAGAGGACAACAGATATGCATCTTCTGTGCAGGTAGACTGAACTAAAAAGACAGAGATAAATATTCAGAAGTGACTGACCAACATCTTCTAAACTCACAAAATAGAAAAATAGATAAGTAACTCCTTCCAAGGAGCTGGCTAGAGAATGGAAAAGGAGCCTCCAAGGGGACCAAGAGTGTCAATGAAACCTCCTCATAGAACCATGAGGCAAAGGGGTAGAGTTTACTCTCCCCATACATACACATATAAGACAAAATACATGTAAAAGATCTATATATCTTGGATACATTCTCGGAATTTTAATAATAAGAAAAAAAATCACACATTTGTTCAAGCAGAAAACAAATTTTAAAAACACATGATCTCTAAAAGAAAAAGAAAAATCCAGTTGTTCTGTTTTTAATCTCCAGGACAAAATTAATTCTCCAGGATAAAATGGTGCAACCTCTATAACTTGAGGAAGAAGTATGGCACTAACCCAAGTAGCCACAGATATGCATTGCCAGGCATGTGGTAAGAACAACAGGAATATATTGCCAAGAAAGCAGGGCTCAGAAAACTTACCACCCACATTATATTCCCTAAAAATTATTTAAGGCCATTCTCAAGCTGATGGAGAGATAAATCTAATAACTTAAAAGCCACTAGCCATTATATTATGTTTATTTATTTATATTTATTTACATTGTATTATATATTTCATTATATTATGAAGGAGCATTGGTAATAATAAAGTATTTGAACAACTGCTTAATTTTTGAAAATATGTTCATAAAATGTAATGCAAGTGTCATAATAAACATTGAACGAGGTAATACGTACTCTAAAAGTGAATAACCTGATTTTTGTAATTCGGGATTATGTTATGATAAACAAGAAATTTTAATATAAAGAGGTAAAAAACAGCTGGAGAAAGTACAAGCATACAAAATTTCTCATTTTCTTGGAATCAGTAGAAATTGCTTTATTTTTGCCTTAATAGTTATAAATATGTTTTCAATATCTTAAAGAATAGTTTAATATATCTTTCTTCTAAATTCCAAAGGACTAAAAAGATTTTTTAAAATTAAACCACCCTAATACTAAAGAAAGGAAGAAAAAAAGGTATTGAGTTATGGATTGAAAAAGAACTCAAAGCTTCAATTTTGAGCTATAAAAAAGTTAATAAAAATTAAAAAGCAATATATATAAATCAGATACAAAAATACTCACCATATGCATTTGTTTTTAATAGAAAAAATAATAATAATATAGGTAACTGAAAAGCTAAAGATAAGAGAAATAACTCTTAAACAGAAAAAACAATTTTAAAAGAATAATATGTAAAATAAACATGAGCTGGTTCTTTCAAAACATATAAAATGGAAAAATATTTGATAAACCTACCCAAACATAAAAGGGGACCAGAAAAATCAGGAATTAATTTAAAATAGATTAGTATGTGCAATATCATAGCTCTCTTTAAAAAAAAGAGATGATCAATTTTCTGGGAAAATATAAATTACCAATATTGATTTATAAAAGAAGTAGTTAAAATTTTCATAATAAAGTTAGCAAATTACCAAGTCATTTTATTCAAATAGGCTTTTTAAACTTTTAAAGAATAAATGATTATTATATCATATAAATAATTCTAAAAACTAGAAGTAGAGAAAATCATTCGCAATTCACTTTTATATAGTTAACATAATGAAACCTTGGTAAAGATTGTATATTTTCTAAAGAGACTGGGAGCTAAACTTAAGCTTACTCCTGAATATATATATACATGTATACATGTGTGTGTTTATATATATTCCCTTCTCTGAGCTCTTTATTCTATTCTATCAGTTTATTTATCTTAAATTAAGCGGATACAATACTCATAGAATACATTTGCAAGAAATTTCAGCTAGAGCTTTGAAAGAGCTTCCAATGAATTTACAGATTATTGGTGTAAATAATGGTATCTTTACATGTCAAGTTTTCCCATCCAAAAGCATGGACTATCTTTATATTTTCTGAGCTATGTATGTTCTTCAATATGGTTTTCATCATTCTCCACAGAAGTCTTAGGACTGCTTTGTTTCAATAT
Source organism: Homo sapiens (assembly GCF_000001405.40). Classification (NCBI taxonomy): domain Eukaryota; kingdom Metazoa; phylum Chordata; class Mammalia; order Primates; family Hominidae; genus Homo; species Homo sapiens. The sequence goes on from NC_000015.10 coordinate 37,640,469, forward strand.
AAAATACTTTATAGCTTTCCTTGCTGTCTTATTTTGTTGCTTATGTTTTGTTAAATTTCTTGGTTGCTTGTTACTATTGGCTTCTATTAATAATTGTCATAAGTGAGTCTTATATCTGAGACTAGTCTTCCCATCAGCTATATTGGATAAATTTTTTAAAAATGGGAAGCAACTGTAAAGAACTCAAAACAGTATAATTCTAAATCTGTGGCTAGACAAATAATATTGGCATATGAGAATGAAATAAAGACATTTACCAGCCACAGACTGACAAATATTCTGAAGTAGTATTAAAAGATGGAATTCAGCAAGAAGAAGAATGGAGTTGGGGGAAAACAACAATAATGACTAAAAACTTTAAAATAATTATTAAGTCTACATAAATAAGCATATAAAGTTTATTAATCTGGAAATCAAATTTCAGATGATCTCAACAAAAGAAATAGGGGTTGAGGGGACAGATAAAATTAAAAGCATGCTTCTTTCTTGACTTATACAGGGGGACAACATAGATAATGCATAATTATGACAGGAAAAAAATAAGCTGAAATGTGTTTACTTAAAAATCTAGGAGGCCCTTTTCTCCTTTTCCCTCCTTTGGAGAGGCTGAGCAGTGCACCAGCTGCATTGGTATATTTGGCATGGCTGGGGCTAAGGAGGCAAATTGCAAATTGAGGATATTGTTTTTATATAGGGAGACTGAGTAAATAAATAAACACAATGAGGACAGTGGGAACAACATTTCTCTTGCAAGAGATGGGAGTTACAAATATGAAAAGGGAACCGTCTAAAATAAACCTTGTAGTATTGGTTTGGTATTGACGATATTACTGTGAACACGAAGTTTCTAATATAGAAATAAATATAGAAGTACATGTGGAAACATATATTTCTAAGCTCTGTCCTTGAAGCAATGACACTTCAGTAACAAACACACTGAGCACCCAAATCTTGGTTTCTACATACCTCTCCTCATTAAAAAATTTAAAAAACCAGAAATCCTTGGAAAAATAGCTGTGCCAGAAAATAAACAACTGCTCAAAGAATGAAGAGAACACAAGAACAAAGGGCCAAATCTTGGATAATCTGAATATCAAGATAAATAATGATACTAAGGAATTATAATCCATTTAATAAAATAAGAATCTATTACTCTATATTAATATTTTTTAAAAATGAATACTAAATGGACAAAACCAGAAAGCTTTATCTTGTAGCAAAACACCTAGTAATAAATCTGTAAAGAAAGATGGCATTAGACAATCCCCTTTTGCATCCTACTATTAATTATTTCAGGCAAATGTCAGCAATGGATGCTAAAATTAGTGAAGAAAATTTTGATGAGAAACAAGATTTTTTTAAGTGTTTCTGAAAAATACTTATTGAATATTAAACAACTATAAAATGTGTTTTAATTAAATTTACAATGGAGAAACCTAGAAGAGACCATTTTAATAGTGTCAAAAGTGAATATCACATATATCAGCATTGTGTGCCTCTTATATGTTGTAGACATCACTATAACCAAAGCATAGCCTAATTCTAATCACGAAGAAACAATAGACCAATGCTAATTGAGAGACATTATACCAAGAAACTGACCATACTCTTTAAAAATATCAAGGTCATGATACACAAGAAAAGATTAAAGGACAGTTCTATACAGAAAGAGACTATAGAGACATGATAACTAAATGCAATTCATGATATTTGATTGGATACTAGAATGAGAAAAAATAGTTATAGATGGCTTTATTGTGACAGTCAACAAAATTTGAATGTTGATATTGTATCAATGTTGATTTCCTAATATTGATGGTAACAATGTGTTATGCGGGAGAGTGTGGTTTTAAGAAGTACACGCTGACATGTAAAGGGACAATGGAGCACTTACGTGTGTGTGTGTGTGTGTGTGTGTTTCTGTAATGCATAGGAAAAAAGTTTGGACAGATAAACAGAAGTTTAATAACTGGGTAGAAATTGGAATTGAAGATGGCGATTACCTTTACTAATTTAATTTTATACAAAAAGGAGGTGTTCAGATATTAAATGTGTCATTAAAAACTAGTTTAAAAAATATGTGAGAGCTATTTTCTTTGTTGTTAATGGAGTTTTTATCTGAGCATTTTTATTTTCCTGTTTTGTTTTACTCATCCCTCTTTTTTACATTTCTTATAATAAAATGTATCGTGTTAATAACTAAAAAAGAAATATAGATACTATTTTTAAACAGATATTGCATTATCAAAAGGAGATATCAAAAGGAGACCTGACTCTAAGGCCTGAATTTTATGAGATTACATAACCTATACTCATTCCACCAAAAATTTAGACACAATACAAGGTATACTTTTTTTCGAAAAAATTCACTTCCAGGCCTCCAAAGCGTAACTAATAAATGGTTAGTGGTCTGAAAATCTACACTCCAGCTGTCACATTTTCCTGAAGGTCTGTGTATGTTCTTGCTAAGGATTCATGAGTTGTTCCAGGGAGCATTTAAAAATTAGAAGAAGCTATGGCTTTACAATCCTGAGAGCACTATAGGCTAGACATTCACTGAGAAGTCAGCATGCATTTATAGAAATTCAGGTTTTAATAGACAAAGCCCCAATGTCACTAAGGACGATAATATTTATCATCTCCTCAGCGTAGTGTCCGGAGTATAAATGGAATAGAGAAGCCAGTCCGACCCTGTCAATTAATAGAGAGGATAAGATCAGAGTCAGACATACTGACACCCAGCAGCCAGTAAGGAATAATGTCACTAATAGATATACCCAGGTATAACTTTCACTATTATGGCAAAATAATAATTAACAGATTAAGATCAAAGTTAAAGTCTCCAAATTTTTATTAGTTTCAGTGGACACTTATGTTAGATATACTTTTTTAAAAGAATATTTGAGTCATTTAAAAATTGTGACAATAACTCTTACTGAATCTAATAAGGAAATTATGTCCATGCTGTAGCAAACATAAAAAATATTAATCCTATATTAGAAATGTCAATGGAACATTTCAAAACATTGAAGGAAACTTTAAAATGCTTCAAAATAAGAAATTTCCTTTACAAAATTCAACCTCTAAAGTATTTGGTGGTTAAAGAAAACCCAAGTCCTACTTCAAGAAAAGAGTAGAGAGGGGACAGATTGATGCTATTATTGATGCTATACTAGAAAATGCTATTATTTTGTCTTTGTTGTTTTATATATTTATTTTAGTACTATGGTAGAGGTGATACGTAAGTGCAATACACAAATGCGGAGAGAAGCAGTTCTCCTCCCCATAAGTTTGGTGTTTTTAATCTAGTAAAAATCAGAAGCAGAATCACCACCTGAAGTGGTACAATCTGTGAAGTTGCCACAGATAGCTACTTTGTTCAGTGAGTTTTCTTTAAGAAAAACCAAGGACAATGATGGAACTTGAGAGAGTAACTCCTGGTAATATTCTACTGGACAGTGCAACATGTTGAATTACCAGTGTCCATCAAAATCTTGTCTAGTAATGAAGATTGTTTTTGAAATAATTTTCTTCTGTCAGCATTACAGTTAGTGAGTCAAATGTATTTAAAGGCCAGGCATGGTGGCTCATGCCTGTAATCCCAGCACTTTGGGAGGCCAAGGTGGGCGGATCATGAGGTGAGGAGATTGAGACCATCCTGGCTAACAGGGTGAAACCCCACCTCCACTAAAAATACAAAAAATTAGCAGGGTGTGGTGGCATGCACTGTAGTCCCAGCTACTCAGGAGGCTGAAGAAGGAGAATCACTTGAACCCAGAGGGCAGAGGTTGCAGTGAGCCAAGATCTCACCACTGCACTCCACTCCAGCCTGGGCGACAGAGAGAGACTCCAACTCAAAACAAAAAAAAATTATTTAAAATCTGGAATGATAAACTATTGATAAAACCACAGTTAAGGTATGGTCTTTGTTGTAAAGAAAAATCAATGCTTAACAGAAGCCAAAAATTAATCTGTACTTCTACAGTTGCTAGTAGTTTTTGAGGCAGGCATTCAAATCACTTTCCACCAGAATGTATGTGAGAAAAAAACAAACACCTCATACCAATACCCTAATCAAACCCTAAGAGAGAAACTATTGTTAACATATGTAGGAAATGTACCCTAAAGATAGAATAGACAAAATAGGGAAACTCCACTCAAGGTGAAAAAAGACAATGTAGGAAGGCCTTCTTCATCCCTAGCTTCAGCTCAGATAATCCATAACATCCAGAAGTCTTCTTCCTCTAGAGTATCTATGTGGCTTTTATGATAGGCAAAGTAAATTTTCACATGCTGACTCCCAGTCCCAGTCTCAGGAAAGCATGGAGAAGGAAGGTAATAATTCTTGAGTAATTGAATTAATTAATCTTTCTATTTTAATTTGTACTTAGAAATTCATAGATGATTTAAAAGATCTGGTTTTGGCACAATCTTTTTGTGAGATTTAGCCCTAACTAAAAGAGTTTTAGAGCTACAGGATAGGGGAAGAGAGGACACGGAGTATTAGAGAAATAGAAATGGACATCAGGGTATGTCTTCCTGCATTGGTCCAAGAAGCTACCCTAGAGAAACAACTGATAGACACTGACTGGATCACGGGAATTGTGCTCTGAACTGTTGAATCAGCATGCTCTCCTGCTCTACCTCAAAAAAAGATGAGCTAAGTTTAACCCAAAGTCAAGCTCTTTTCTGAATATAATCTAGTATAGAAACTAGAACAAACTTGAAAACAAGGCATGTAGCATATTCAATAGCATGCAGAAGACCATTACATGGGAACAGAAAGCCAGGAGGAAATAACAAAATGAGACAAAAGAAAATAGGATAGGATGCAAAAACTATAAACTAGATGACAAGGAAATAAATTGCAACAATAAAATCATATGTTCTAGTGGATGTAAAAGGGGGATTGGATCAAGATGGTGAATTCTGCTCACATGACTCTCTTTCCTTTATACAGATGCCATGAAACAATGCATACACACACAAACACTCACACACACACACGCAAACACATACAGACACACACATTAAAAAAAATAATTCATAACAGTGCAGGAAAGGAAATCCATGTAAGACAGAAGCAGACAGTATTATATTTATGAAAATTTAAAACTGAAGAAAATTATAGCACTAAAAATGTTCAGGAATAAGCCATTATGGAGTAAGGATTGCTTGAGAGGAGGGTGCTTCGAAATCAACAGTCAGTGGAGACAAGAACTCCTGCTACATTCAGAGAAGAGAGTTGCATTTAGAGAAGCTAAACAAATAGATACCAATATGGTTAGGCTTCATGTCTCCACCCAAATCACATTTTGAATTATAATCCCCATAATTCCCATAATCCCCACATGTCAAAGGAGAGACAAGGTGGAGGTAATTGGATCATGGAGGCTGTTTCCTCCATGCTGTTCTCATGATAGTCAGTTCTCACAAGATCTGATGGTTTTATAAGGGGCTCTCCCCACCTCGCTCAGCACTTCTCCTTCCTTCTGCCTTGCGAAGAAGGTGTCTTGCTTCCCCTTCACCTTCTGCCATGATTAGAAGTTTCCTGAGGCCTCTCCAGCCATGCTGAACTGTGAATCAATTAAACCTTTTTACTTATTGAATTACCCAGTCTTAGGCAGTTCTTTATGGCACTATGAAAACTGACTAATACAGTAAATTGATACCACAGAGAGCAGGGTGCTGCTATAAAGATACCCAAAAATATGGAAGTGACTTTGGAACTGGGTAACAGGCAGAGGTTGGAACAGTTTGGAGGGCTCAGAAGAAGAAAGGAAGATGTGGGAAAGTTTGGAACTTCCTAGAGACTTGTTGAATGGCTTTGACCAAAATGCTGATAGCGATATGGACAATGAATTCACGCTCCAGTGGTCTCAGATGGAGATGACGAACTTTTTGGGAACTGGAATAAAGTTCTTGCTATGCTTTAGCAAAAGACGGGTAGCATCAGCATTTTGCCCCTGTCCTAGAGATCCATGGAACCTCAGACTTGACAGAGATTAATTCAGACATCTGGCAGAAGAAATTTCTAAGCAGCAAAGCATTCAAGATGTGACTTGGGGGCTCTTAAAAGCATTGAGTTTCATGTATTCACAAAGGGATGGTTTGGAATTGGAACTTATGTTCAAAAGGGAACCAGAGCATAAAAGTTTGGAAAATTTGCAGGCTGACAATGTGATAGAAAAGAAAAACCCATTTCTGAGGAGAAATTCAAGCTGGCTGCAGAAATTTGCATAAGTAACAAGGATTCAAATATTAATTGTCAAGACAATGGGGAACATGTCTCCAGGATATGTCAGAAGTCTTTACAGCAGTCCCTCCCATTGCAGGCCTAGAAGCCTAGGGGAGAAAGTGGTATCATAAGCCAGGTTCAGGACCTTGCTGCTTTGTGCAATCTTGGGACTTGGTGCTCTACGTCCCAACAGTGGCTAGAAGGAGCCAATATAGAGCTCAGGCCATTGCTTCAGAGGGTGCAAGCCTCAAGCATTGGTGGTTTACACATTGTGTTGGGCTGTGGGTTCGCAGAGGTCAAGATCTGAGGTTTGGAAACTGCTGCCTAGATTTCAGAGGATATATGAAAATACCTGGATGTCCAGCAGAAGTTTGCTGCAGGGCAGGGCCCTCACACAGGACCTCTGCTAGGGCAGTGCAGAAGGGAAATGTGGGGTCAGATCCCCCACACAGAGTTCTCAATGGAGCACTGCCTAGTAGAGTTGTGAGAAGAGGGCCACCATCCTTCAGGCCCCAGAATGCTAGATCTATTAACAGCATGTACCATGTGCCTGGAAAAGCCACAGGCACTCAATGCCAGCCTGTGAAAGCAGCCAGGAGGGAGGCTCTACTCTGCAAACCACAGGGTGGAGGTGCCCAAGGCCATGGGAGCCCACCTCTTGCATCAGCATGACCTGGATGTGAGACATGGAGTCAAAGGTGATCATTTTGGAGCTTTGCCCCACTGGATTTCTGACTTGCATGGTGCCTATAGCCTGTTTGTTTGGGCCAATTTCTCCTATTTGGAATGGGTGTATTTAACCAATGCCTGTACCCCCATTGTATCTAGGAAGTAACTAACTTGCTTTTAATTTTACAGGCTCATAGGTGGAAGGGACTTACCTTGTCTCAGAGGAGACTTTGGACCTGGACTTTTGGGGTAATGCTGGAATAAATTAAGACTTTGGAAGGCTGTTGGGAAGACATGATTGGTTTTGAAATGTGAAAGGGACATGAGATGAGATTTGGGAGGGGCCAGGGACAGAATGATATTGTTAGGCTCTGTTTCCCCACCCAAATCTCATCTTGAATCCCCATAATCCCCACATGTCTAGGCAGAAGCAGAGGTAATTATATCATGGGGCAGTTTCCCCCATGCTGTTCTCATGATAGTGAGTCCTCATGAAATCTGATGGTTTTATAAGGGGCTCTTCCCCCTTTGCTCAGCACTTCTCCTTCCTGCTGCCTTGTGAAGAAGGTGCCTTGCTTCCCCTTCACCTTCCATCATGATTGTGAGTTTCCTGAGGCCTCCCCAGCCATGCTGAACTGTAAGTCAATTAAACCTCTTTATTTTATGAATTACCCAGTCTCAGGCAGTTCTTTATAGCAGTGTGAAAATGGACTAATACAATACCTAACTCTACCCCAAATCACCTTCCAAAAACACCCTGTATTTACACTTTTATGTATAAAATATAACAGAGACTGGTGACACTACAGTCAGAGAGGCAGACCAGTAATCCAGATAGCCAAGTGTTCCACGAGAGATGAGGAATACCTGTGTACTGTTAGTAAACTCTTGGACCACTGCATAGAATGGGCACTATCATTCGTTCACTCAGTCATCTGACACAAGCTGCTATAAGCATAACAGGCCAATTAACAGGGATTCTCATATTCAAAGATGATCAGAAAAATTTTTGAATGACAAATATTCAATATTCCTAACTATTTGAGAAAAATTAACACCATGAATGAGAAAAGAAGGATGTCAAAGCAAAATGAAATAAAAAATAAACTAAGATAAGTAACATTTAAAAACCCTCAAAAAGACAATAGGGCAAACAATGTCCATTGGGCATAACCATCTTTAATAATCTTAGAAAAATTCAAGACTATATTCACAAATAATAAAAATTAACCAACAGATAATTTTAAAACAAGATTTTATTACAAAAAATCTTAAACATATTCAACTAAAGAAAGTATAATATAATCAACGCCCCTACATGTACCTCTCACATACCTTCAATAATTAGCATCTCATAGCTTATTATATTTTATCATTACCCCCACTTACCCTTCCACTTCCACCCTGGGCTATTTTAATTAAATCCCAGATATGATGCCACTTAACCCATAAATATTTGGGGACAATTTTTATTAATTAAAATTTTAATTAGCAAAATAAAAAAGTATAGTCGGGCTTAATTATTAAGTAGACATAGCCAAAGATAAATCTAGTGAACTGAGTGATAGAACTAAGAAATTCTCCAGAAATGGAGTGTAACAAGATAAAGAGACCATGGAATTATATTTAAAAAAGACTGAGACAAGGATTTATATAAAAGTAATTTATTAAGGACCACCTCCCCATGAAAAAGAAAACTTGTATGCAAGAAAGAAAACAGAAAAGAAAAAGTCAAGCAAAATTGTGATTTCAAATGATGTCTAGCCTCAATCTATTTTATGGAGCATTCTGAAAGGCAAATTTCCCTAGAGAGTTTGTCTCACCTTGAGGCAAAGGATCTGGGCTTTTATATCCCTACCTTGATTAGTCATTGACTACCGGTCATCTCCCAAGCAAAGCATCTCCAAGTGCCCAAGGAAAGCTCTCCAAAGAAAGTCAGAGGTGTAAACTTTTGGCAGTAATGCAGACAGCATTTGGAGAATATTCTCAAAAGTGATAATTGGGAACTGAGTGGAGCATCAACAGCACCAGCTACTGATGGAAAATATAATTAAAAAGTACGTGACATGGAGAATAGATACAGAACTTTCAGTATCTTCCCATAGAAATCACAGAAAGATAGAAGAATATAGTAGAAAATAAACAAGGAAATTATAAAAGATAGTTTCCCAAATAAAAATTATAAAAGATAATTTTTTAAAAGGTAAAATTATTCATGTTGAAAAAAATTCACCAATTGCCAAACAAAAGTAATGTGAAAATATGCATAATTGGAAATTACTTTTCCAAAACCTTACAATAGCATAGAAAGAAAATTCTAAACATTTCCAGGGGAAATTAGTCTAGCTACTATGGTGAAGATAAGTTTTACAATTGATGCTCAGACTATGACACCAACAAGGAAAGTCATCCAAAGCTTTGAATGAGCAGAATCAATTATAGATTTACTAGTATGTATCCTAGTGAGTTAGATGTGCCTTGATGAGTTAAATAATGCTCAAGCTATACACCATTTATGTCTCATACAGAAGGAAAATGTGTATAGGATGGCAACTACCAGATATTTGGTTGGTTCCACAGACTTTCATATTTAATACTCACTTCTTGCAGATGTATCTAGGTTCTACTGGAATTTGGCCAAGAGACATGCCTGACCATACCCTTAAAGGCAGGCCCACTGACCTCAGTCCTATTGCAGATCCTGAAGTGTGCCAGTAAGTTGGCTATAGACTCTTTTGACCACAGTCAATGAGCAGTCTTGCCTTCCCAGAGACCTGGCAGCAGATATACCCATCTGTGTCCCTGGAGGCAGGCTTGAAGATCTTGATTCAACTCGGATCCTGAAGTAGCTCTGGTAACTCCATTTTAGCTCCTCTTATCTGTGGCCCAGGAACAGTCCTACCCACCCAAGGACCCTCCAGGTGACATGCCTATCCATGCTCTGGAATCTAGATCTGCCAACCTCAAATCAACTCTAGATCCTGAGAAAGCCCTGTGACCCAGCTGCAACTGCACTCAGCCACAGTCTCAGGGCAGTCCTACCCATCCAGAGACCCATACAGTGACCTGACAGAAACCCTTATAAAGACCCAGCAGGAATCACACCCATCTACACACTTGGTAAAAGGTCTGCTATATGTGGATCCAATTGTGGACCTGAAAGCAGACCCTTGTACTAGTGCCAGCCCTATTGACCAAGGTCTTAGAGGCAATATCCTTCGCCCAGGAACCAGACAGGATCCATGCTCACTTGAAACTCTGGTAATAGGCCGTTCAACCATAGACCCCAGTAAAAAAAAAAAAGTAGCAGCAACCACATAACCTGGCTCCAACCCCAGTTGACTGTAATCCCAGAGGCAATCCATCAACCCAGGGACTTCCAGCAGAGGGTCTTTACTGCTGAAACTGGTTTTTAAAGATTGGAAGAGGTGTTTGCTCCTTCAAATGCACAAGCACTGATGTAAATCTACACGAATCATGAAGAATCACACAAACACAACATACCCAAAGGAAACTAATAGAGTTCCAATAACCAATCCAATAACCAGCTCCAATCTCCAATTTGTAGAAATTGAGTCTATAAATTACCTGACAAAGAATTCAGAATAATCATCTTAAAGAAGTTCAATGAAATATAAGAGAATACAAATAAACAACTATATATAATCAGGAAAAGAGCATAAACAAGATAAGAAGTTCAATAAAAAATAAAAACCACAAAAAAGAGCAAAACAAAAATCCAGAAGTTAAAGAATACAGTGGCAGAACAAAAAAAAATGCAATTGAGAGCTTCAACAGCGGACTCCATTGTACAGAGAAAAGAATCAGTGAACTTGAATACCAGTCTTTAAAAATAGCCAGACATAGGCACAAAAAAGAAAAGGAATGAGAGAAAAAGAACAAAGAAAGTATAGGGGACCTATGGGATGCCATCAAATGAACAAATATATGCATTATGAGAGTTCCCAAAAAGAAGAGAGAGAAAACAGAGAAATAATTTTAGTTAAAGCATATTTCTTGATTTAAAAAAATAGGGTGCTGTGGCTCACACCTGTAATCCCAGCACTTTGGGAGGCTGAGGTGGGCAGATCACTTGAGGTCAGGAGTTTGAGACCAACCTGGCCAACATGGTGAAACCCTGTCTCTACTAAAAATACAAAAATTAGCTACTCAGGAGGCTGAGGTAGGAGAATTGCTTAAACTCAGGAGGCGGAAGTTGCAGTGAGCTGAGATTGCACCACTGTACCCCAGCCTGGGCAACAGAGTGAGACTCCATCTTAAAAAAAATAAGAAATAAGGGTTTAAAACCTCCCAAAACTTGAGAAGGATATAAGGCATGCAAATTCCTGAAGACTCCAACCAAGGTGAGCCCAAAGTAAATACCTGAGACACATTATTATCAAATTATCAAAAGTCAAAGACAAAGAGAGTTTTGAAAGCAGCAAGAGAAAAGTAACTTGTAACACACAAGGGAACTCTATGAGGCTACTAACAAATTGCAGGCCAAGAGAAAGTGGTGTAATATATTCAAAGTACCAAAAGAAAGATCTGCCATTCAAGAATATTATACTCTTATAAGGTACTCTTCATAAATGATGGAGAGATAAAGATATTCCCAGACAAATAAAAGCTGAAGAAGTTAATCACCATTAGCTATGCCTTACATATGATAAAGAGAATTTGTCACATTGAAATGAAAGGATAGTAAATAACAACATGAAAACATGAATGTATAATAGCCACAGGTAAAGGTAAATGTATAGTCAAATTGGAATGCTCTGATACTGTAATGGTGGTGCACAAATTACTTTTACTTCTAGTATAAATGTTATAAAAGTATTAAAAATAACTATAGCTACAATAATTTGTTAATAATATAGAACATAAAAATATGTAAAGTGTAACATCAATAGCATAAAATGTGAGGGAGGAGAGAAGTAAAAGTGTAGAGTTTTTCTGTGTGACTAAGTTAAGTTGTTATCAGCTTAAAATAAAGTATTATAACTATAAGACGCTTATATAAGCCTCATGGTAACTATAAAGAAAAAAATCGCTAGTAGATACACAAAAGATAAAGAGAAGAAGAATTAAAGCATGCCACTATTAAGCAAATGAACATGAAAATTACAAGCCCCATGTCCTCAGGAGATAGGAGGGGATAAGGGGAAAACCCTGGCAAGGTCCTGAAGTACAGGTAACCAGATCCATCTCCATCCTTGTGGCAATCAAAAGCAATAATCCTGTACTTACTTTAAGGACTTATAATTATGACTTTATTTTTTTAATGACAGGTCAGATGTGGGATAGGAGGCATGACTAGCTTCCTGCTCAGACAGACAGAGCAACATGTGAAGGCTCATATCATGAATTTTGCTCCAATAACTACTGCAGGAATATACCAGGAAAGCTGAGAGAATTCACAGACCCTTTGAAGGAACTGAATCACAGCTGGAGGCTCCCTGAGATAATAAAAAACTATGAGTCTGCTTGTTTTCTTAATGCAGGAGGCTCATGGTCTGGGGCAAGTTCTCAGCCCTGGTCACTGGCTGCCTGGAAATAGTCTCAGTGCTTTGTGGAGTAGGGGCACAATGGGAGTAAGATCAGCCTTTAGGACTGTGAGCTGCATGGGAGCAGGGTGAGGCCTGTAACTGCTGGATTTCCCCCACTTCCCCTGGTGACCTCTATTACTCGGCTGAGGCAGCCATAATCTCTCTGTGAATATAACTCTATTGGTCTTGGAGCCACACCCCCATCCTCCACAACAGCCATAGCAAGCCCTGCTCAAGGAGGGGCTGAGCTCAGACATGCTTATCCTTGCCCCACCTGGTGGTCTTTCTCTACCTACCTCGGTAGCTGAAGACAGGTCATGATCTCTTGGGACCTCTATGGCCCTGCCCACTGCCTGAGAAACTTGAATACTTAACCAACCAGGTGTCCCTATGGCAAGTTTGCATCCTCCCTGTAGGATTGCACCTGATGCATTCTTGAAAGCACCACCTCCTGGCTGGAGGCCAACCAGCACACTAAACAAAAACACAACTGAAGACCCTCACAGAGTTCACTTCACTCCCCTGCTAACCCTGCTGTAGCAGGTGCTGGTATCCACAGCTGCAAGACCTGAAGACAGATCACATCCGAGGACTCTTTGCAGATACTCCCCAGTACCAGCCCAGAGTCTGGTAGCTCTGCTGGGTGGCTAGACCCAGAACAGCAAAAACATTCACTACAGTTCGGCTCTCAGCTTCCTGAGATTCCCACATTACTAGGGAAAGGGGAAGAACACCACATAAAAGGAGGACCCTAAGGGACAAAATAACCTGAAAGGCAGTCCTTGATTCCCAGATCTTCCTTCTGACATAGTCTACCCAAATGAGAAGGAACCAGAACAAAATTCTGGTAATACGATAAAATGAGGTTATTTAACATCCCTGAAAAGATCATACCAACTCATTAGCAACTAATCCAAAACAAGAATAAAGCTCTGAAGTGACAGAAAAAGAAGTTAGAAGGCTGATTATTAAGCTAATCAACGAGGAACCAGAGAAAGGTGAGGTCCCACTTAAAGAAATAAAAAACATGATACAGCATATGAAAGAAAAATTATTCAGTAAAATAGATAGCTTAAATAAAAAACAATCACACCTTCAGGAAATAAAGGATACACTTAGAGAAATGCAAAATGCATTGGAAAGCTTCAGTGATAGAACTGAACAAAAAGAAGAAAGAAACTCAGAGCTCAAAGACAGGGCTTTTGAATTAACCCTATCTGTCAAAGAAAAAAGAATTTTAAAAAAATGAACAAAGCCTCGAAGAAATTTGGAATTATGTTTAATGTCCAAGCCTAAGAATAATTGGTATTCCTGAGGAAGAAGAGAAATCTAAAAGTTTGGGAAACATATTTGAGGGAATAATTGAGGAGACAACTTCCCTGGCCCTGCTAGAGATCCAGGCATCCAAATACAAAAAGCTCAAAGAATACCTGGGAAATTTATCGCAAAAAGATCATTACCTAGGCACGTAGTCACCAGGTTATCTAAAGTCAAGACAAAGGAAAGAATCTTAACAGCTGTGAGGCAAAAGCATCAGGCAACGTATAAAGGAAAACCTATCAGATTAACAGCAGATTTTTCAGCAGAAACCCTACAACCTAGAATAAATTGAGGTCCTATTTTTAACCTCCTTAAAAAACAATTATCAGCCAAGAATTTTTTATCCAGTGAAACTAAGCTCCATAGATCAAAAGATACAGTCTTTTCCAGACAAATGCTGAGAGAGTTTGCCACTACCAAGCTAGCACTACAATAACTGTTAAAAGGAGCTCTAAATCTTAAAGCAAATCTTTGAAATATACCAAAATAGAACCTCCTTAAAGCATAAATCTCACAGGACCTATGTAACAATAACACTATGAGGAAAAAACACAAGGTAGTCAGGCAACAAATAGCATGATGAATAGAATAGTACATGACATCTCAATTTTAACATTGAATGTAAATGACTTAAATGCTTCACTTAAAGACACAGGATGGAAGAATGGGTAAGAATTCACCCACCAAGTTTCTCCTATATTCAGGAGACTCACCTAACATGTAAGGACTCATATAAGCTTAAGGAAAAACTATGGGAAAAGATGTTCCATGCAAACGGACACCAAAAGCAAGCATAAGAAGCTATTCTTACATTAAACAAAACAAACTTTAAAGCAACAGCAGTTAAAAAAGCTAAAGAGGGGCATTATATAATCATAAAAGGACTAGTTCATTATAAAAAGATCACAATCCTAAATACAATAGAAATGATCAACAAAAGTAAGAGTTGGCTTCCTGAAAAGATAAATAAATGGACAAACCTTCAGCTAGACAAATGAAAAAAATAAGAGAGAGCGAGAGAACTCAAATAAATAAAATAATAAATGAAAGATAAGACATTACAGTTGATACCACAGAAATACAAAGGATCATAAGAGATCACTATGAACAATTATACACCAACAAATTGCATCACCTATAAGAAAGGAATAAATTTCTAGAAACATACAACCTACAAAGACTGAATTATGAAGAAACAGAAAATCTGAACATAACAATAATGAGTATGAAGATTGAATCTATAATACAAAGTTTCCTGTTAAAGAAGAGCCCAGGACAAGATGGCTTTACTGGTAAATTTTACTAAGCATTGAAAACAAATTAATGCCATTCTTTCTCAAACTCTTCCAAAAAATTGAAGATGAAAGAATACTTTGAAACCTATTTTATGAGGTCAGCATTACTCTAATATTAAAGCCCAATAAAGACACTACAAGAAAAGAAAATTACTGGCAAATATTCCTGATGAACATAGGTGCAAAAATCCTCAACAAGATATTGGCAAACCAAATTCAACAACACATTAAAAGGATCGTACACCATGAACAAATAGGCTTTGTCTCTTGAATGCAAAGATGGTTTGACAGAAATCAATAAATATGATAGTCCACATTATCAAAGTGGAGGATAAAAATCACATGATCATTTCAATAGCTGCACAAAATGTATTTGAAAAAAATTAATATCCTTTTGATAAAAACTCAATAAATTCAGTACAGAAGGAATCTACCTCAACATACTAAAGGCCATGTATGACAACCCTACAGCTAACATCATACTAAATAAGGAAAAACTAAAAAGTGTTTCCTCTAAAATCGGAAACTAGACAAGAGTTCCTGCTTCCACCACTTCTATTCAACAGAGTACTGTTCTACACAGAGCAATTAAGCAAGAGGAAAAAACGTATCCAAATCAGAAAGGAAAAAGTTAAATTGTCGTTATTTATAGATGATATGATCTATATATAGAAAACTCTAAATAATCCTCTAAAAAATTTTAGGATTAATAAATTAGTTCAGTAAAGTAGCAGAAAGCTAATCAACAAACAATAATCACCTGTGTTTCTTACACAAACAATTAAGTGTTTGAAAAAGAAATTGAAACATTCCCATTTACAATAGCAACAATTAAATACTTAGAAATAAATTTAATCAGGGAGTTGAAAGATCTGTACATCAAAAACTATAAGACGTTGAGAAAGAAATTGAAGAAAACACAAATGAATAAAAAGATAGTCCACGTTTATGGATTGGAAATATTGATAAAATGTCCATACTATTCAAAGCAATCTACAGATTCACTGTAGCCCCTATCAATATTTCAATGGCATATTTCATACAAATAGAAAAAAAAAATCCTAAAATTCATATAAAACCACAAAAGGCCTCAAGTAGCCAAAGCAATTTTCAGAAAGAAGGAAAAACCTGGAGACATCACACTTCCTGATTTAAAACTATGCTACAAAGCTATAGTAATCAAAACAGTATGGCAGTGGTGTAAAAGCAGACACATAGGCCGGACATGGTGGCTTACATCTGTAATCCCAGCACTTTGGGAGGCTGAGGCAGGCAGATCACTTGAGGTCAGGAGTTTGAGACCAGCTTGACCAAAACAGTAAAACCCTGTCTCTACTAAAGGTGGATTACGCATAGACCAATGGAATAAAATAGAGAGCCTAGATATGAATCCTGGTATATACAGTCAAGTAGTCTTTAACAGGGGCATCAAGATTACACCTTGTAGAAGGGACAATCTCCTCAATAAATGGGAAAATTGGATATCTACATTGCAAAGATATGACATTGGACTCTTATCATGCACTATATACAAAACCTAACTTAATATGGATTAAAGATTTAAATGTAAGATCTGAAACCATAAAACTCCTAGAAGAAGACACTGTGGAAAATCTTATTGACATTGACCCAGGCAAAGATTTTTTGGATATAACACCAAAAGCATAGGAAACAAAAGCAAAAACTAAACAATTGGGGCTACATCAAACTAAAAAGTTTCTGCACAGCAAAGGAAACCAAAAATAAAATGAAAAGGCCACCTGTGGAATGGGAGAAAATATTTGCGAATCATATGCTATTGTCTGAATGTGCCCTTTAAAGTTGATGTGTTGGAAATTTGATCCCCAATGTGGAAGTGCTGGAAGGTGAGGCTTTTAAGAGATGTTGAGGTAATGAGGGCTGTACCCTCATGAATGCGTTAATGCTGTTATTGAGGAGTGGGTTCTTTATAAAAGCACAAGTTCATCCCACTTTTGTCTCTTTCTTGTCCTCTCTTTGTCTTTCTGCCATGTGATGCCTTCCACCATGTTATGATGCAGCACAAAGGGCCTAACAGATGCAGGTACCTTGATGTTGAACTTCTCAGCCCTCAAAACTGTAAGTCCATACATTCCTGTTCATTATAAATTACCCAGTTGGTGGTATTTTGTAATAGGAACACAAAACAGACTAAAACATCATATGATAAAAGGTTAATATCTAAAATACGTAAGAAACTCATACAACTCAATAGCAAACAAACAAACAAACAAAAAACAGATAGCCCAAGTAAAACATGGGCAAATGACCTAAATAGACATTTTCCCAAAAAAGGTATACAAATGACAAGTATATAAAAAGATGCTCAACATCACCAATCATCAGGAAAATGCAAATGCAAATGAAAACCATAATGAAATATCACCTCCTGCCTATTAGAATGGCTTTTATCAAAAAGATGAAAGATAATAAGTGTTGATGAGATTGTAGAGAAAAGGAAACCCTTGTACATTATTGCTAGAAATGTAAATTGGTACAGCCTTATGGAAAACAGTACGAATTTCCTAAAATAATTAATAATAGAACTACCACCTGATCTAACAGTCTCATTGCTTGGTATATCTCCAACAAATATGAAATCAGTATCTTGAAGAGATATCTGCACTATCATGCTTATTGCAGTATTATTAATAATAGCCAAAATATTGAAACAACCTCAGTGTCTGTTGACAGATGAATGGATAAAGAAAATGTGAAGGGAGGGGTTGTGTGTCTACACATATACACCCACACACAATGGAATATTATACAGCCATAAGGAGAAAAAAATCCTGCCATCTGCAAGAACACAGATGAACCTGGAAGACATTATGCTAAGTGAAATAACCCAGACACAGAAAGCCAAATACTTTATACTATCACTTTTATGTGAAATTTAAAAAACTTGATCTCACAGAAACAGAGATTAGAATGGTGGATGCCAGGGAATGTGGCGTGGAGGAAATAGGGAGACAACAGTCAAGGTATACAAACTTTCAGTGATAAGATGAATGAGTTCTGATGATCTAATGTATAGCATGGTGTATATAGCTAATAATATTGTATCATATACTTTAAATTTGTTAAGAAAATAAATCTTAAGTGTTTGTACCACACACAAAAATGATAATGATGTGAGGTAATGATGTGTTAATTAACTTGGTTGTGATAATCATCTTACAACGTATACACATAGCAAACCATTATGTTGTACACCTTAGAGAGATACAATTTTTATTTATAAATTATACCTCAATAAAACTAGAAAAATAAATAAAGATAGTTTGGAAGCATGTAAACGTTCAGAAAATGAAGATATGAGATAGAAGAAAGAGTCTGAAATATAATAGTTAAGACTAAATAAATATTCTAAATAGTTAAGACTAAATAAATACAAATATAAAATTTATCAATTTTAAAATGTAATAGTCTAATTCCAGATGATTGTATTAAGAGAGTTAGCTGTGGTGGAGTTGGGGAAGCAAAAAGGAGGGAAATGGACGTATATAACATTTATGTCTTCGGGGGAAGCTATATACATTTGTTCTATTTAGACTTTAATAGAAAAACGTAAGTGTAAAAGTATGGTTCAGGATGTAAGAATAACCATTATAAAAAAATAGAGAAAATATGATTGCCAACCAACAAGAAGGAAGAAATAAAATAATGAATTCAATCAATCCCCTAAAAAAATAGCAAAGGAAAAAAACCAAAAAAGTACAAATAGAAAACAAAATAATTATCAGGATAAATATATATATATAATTATCCAATATAAATATGACTACCATATACTCATTAAAAGAAACTGTACACAGAAAAATAGCATATTACGTAAAAAGCTTGAAAAACTGTATCAGAGGAATTTCACATTGATAAAATATACACTCTACCAAGGACAATCTAAAAATATAGTGTTGAATTATATAAAGGGAAAAAATTGAGATTCAAGAAGACATATGGCAAATCCACAGTTCTGTGGGATGTATACCTCATTAGCAATCAAGAAATGAAATAGATCAAAAGTTGGTAAGCATCAGAGGGTGAAGGTTTTCTTCCTTCCCATTCTCCTTTTTGCTTATCTTCTTGCCCCTTTCCAAATTTTTGGATGAAATCCTTGATTAGATATAAAGATAGAGCTACAGATAGAGATGTACACAGAGAGAGAATATATAGACTATATTAGCATAATTATGCATTAAAATTATGTTGTAAGAACTAGTTAATATTATAAAAAGAAATATTTCTTTACATTGCAGATATTTCATTCTAAAGCATGTACTTAATAGAATTTTAAGATATAATAACCCCTCTGTACTCCCCAGATGGTGCTTAGATTTTGGGGACAGGAATAAAAGAATATCTAGGGGGTTATGAACAAAGAAAGAGGAAGCGGGATCTAAAAGAAAAGAACTCCCGGCCGGGTGTGGTGGCTCACGCCTGTAATCCCAGCACTTTGGGAGGCCGAGGTGGGCGGATCACGAGGTCAGGAGATCGAGACCATCCTGGCTAACACGCTGAAACCCCGTCTCTACTAAAAAATACAAAAAATTAGCCGGGCGCGGTGGCGGGCACCTGTAGTCCCAGCTACTCGGGAGGCTGAGGCAGGAGAATGGCGTGAACCCAGGAAGCGGAGCTTGCAGTGAGCCGAGATTGCGCCACTGCAGTCCGCAGTCCGGCCTGGGCGACAGAGCGAGACTCCGTCTCAAAAAAAAAAAAAAAAAAATTAGTCAGGCATGGTGGCGGGCACCTGTAGTCCCAGCTACTCGGGAGGCTGAGGCAGGAGAATGGCGTGAACCCAGGAGGCAGAGCTTGCAGTGAGCCAAGAGAAAAGAACTCCCAGCTAGCCATTTACAATGGGATTTTTTTTTTTTTTTTTTTTGAGATGGAGTCTCGCTCTGTCACCCAGGCTGGAGTGCAATGGCACGATCTCGGCTCACTGCAACCTCCGCCTCCTGGGTTCAAGCGATTCTCCTGCCTCAGCCTCCTGAGCAGCTGGGACTACAGGCACCCACCACCACGCCCAGCTAATTTTTGTATTTTTAGTAGAGACAGGGTTTCACCATATTGGTCAGGCTGCTGACCTCGTGATCCACCAGAGTCGGCCTCCCAGACTGCTGGGATTAGAGGCGTGAGCCACTGCGCCAGGCCTATTTTTTTTTTTTTTTTTTTTTTTGCTATTTAATAAAGCTTAACTTGTTGGTTGCAGGGGGGTGTTGCTTTTTATTTTTATTCTAACTTTCATTTTACGTTTACAGGTACACGTGCAGGCTTGTTACACAGGTAAACTCGTGTCATGGGTGTTTGGAGTACAGATTATTCTGTCACCCAGGTATAAGCATAGTACACAATAGTCATTTTAAAAAAGCCTTTCCTTCCTCCCACCTTCCACCCTCTAGTAGGCCCGAGTGTTTGTTGTTCCCCTCTTTGTGTCCATATGTTCTCATTATTTAGCTCCCACTTATAAGTGAGAACATGCAGTATCTGGTTTTCTGTTCTAGCATTGGTTTGTTAAAGATAATGGCCTCCAGCTCCATCCATGTTGCTGCAAAGGACATGATGTCATTCTTTCTTATGGCTGCATAAGATTCCATTATGTATATGTATCACATTTTCTTTATCCAGTCTACCATTTATGGACATTTAGATTGATTCCATGTGTTTGTTATTGTGAATAGTGCTACAATAAGTATATGTGTGCATGTGTCCTCATGGTAGAATAATTTATATTCCTTTGGGTTTATACCCAATATTGGGACTGCTGGGTCAAATGGTAATTCTACTTTTAGTTCCTTCAGGAATGACTACACTGCTTTCCACAATGGCTGAACTAATTTGCACTCCCATCAGCAGTGTATAGGAATTCCCTTTTCTCCACAACCTTGTCAGCATCTGTTTTTTTTTTTTTTTTTTTGAGACAGAATTTTGCTCTGTCACCGATGCTGGACTGCAGTGGTGTGATCTCAGCTCACTGCAACCTCCACCTCCCAGATTCAAGCAATTGTCCTGCCTCAGCCTCCTGAATAGCTCGGACTACAGGCGTAAGCCACCATGCCTGGCCAATTTTTGTATTTTTAGTAGAGACGGGGTTTCACCATGTTGGCCAGGATGGTCTTGATCTCCTGACCTCGTGATCCCCAAAGTGCTGGGATTACAGGCGTGAGCCGCCACACCCGGCCTGCCAGCATTTGTTATTGTTTGATGTTTTAAATAACAGCCATTTTGACTGTGTAAGATGGCATCTAATTATGTTTTTGACTTGCATTTCTCTAATGATTAATGATGTTGATCATTTTTTCATATGTGTGTTGGCTGCATGTATATATTGTTTTGAAAAGTGTCTGTTCATGTCCTTTGCCCACTTTTGAATGGTTTTTTTTTTTTTTTGCTTGTAATGTAAGTTCCTTATAGATTCTGAATATTAGTTCTTTGTCAGAAGCATAGTTTGCAAATACGTTCTCCTTTTCTGTAGGTTGTCTGTTTACTCTGTTGGTAGTTTCTTTTGCTGTCAGAACTCTTTGGTTTAATTAGGTCTCATTTGTCAATTTTTGCTTTTGTTGGAATTGCTTTTGGCATCTTTGAAATCTTTGCCAGTTCCTATATCCAGAATGATTTTTCCTAGGTTATATTCCAGGGTTTTCATACTTTTGGGTTTTACATTTAAGTCTTTAATCCAACTTGAGTTGTTTTTTTTAATATAGTGTAAAGAAGGGTCCCAGTTTCAATCTTCTGCATATGGCTAACCAGTTATCCCAGCATTATTTATTAAATACAGAATCCTTTCCCACTAGTTGTTTTTGTAAGCTGTGTCAAAGATCAGATAGTTGGAGGTGTGCAGCATTATTTCTGGGCTCTCTATTCTCCTCCATTGTTCTATGTGTCTGTTTTTGTTCCAGTAGCATACTGTTTTGGTTACTGCAGCCCTGTAGTGTAATTTGAAGTCAGGTAACATGATGTCTCCAGCTTCATTCTTTTTGTGTAGGATTGTCCTGGCTATTTGGGCTTTTATTTGTTTCCGTATGAATTTTGGAATGATTTTTTTTCTAGTTCTGTACAGAATAATATTGAAAGTTTGATAGGAATAGCATTTAATCTGTAATAATCTTTGGGCAGGTAGTGTGGCCATTTTAATAATATTAATTACCTCTTATCCATGAGCATAAAATGTTTTCCATTTGTTTGTGGTCATCTTTGATTTCTTTGAGCAGTGTTTTGTGATTCTCTGGGTAGAGATCTTTCACCTCCATGGTAAGCTGTATTTGTAGTTATTTTATTCTTTCTGAGGCAACTGTGAATGGGATTCTGTTTCTGATTTGGCTTTTGGCTTAGATATTGTTGGTAGAAATGCTACTCATTTTTGTACATGGATTTTGTATCCTGAAACTTTGCTGAAGTTGTTTATTACCTTAAGGAGCTTTTGTGCAGAGACTACAGAGTTTTCTAGACATAGAAGCTTACCATCTGCAAACAGGAATAGTTTGACTTCCTCTCTTTCTATTTGGATGTTCTTTATTATTTTTTTCTTGCCTGAGTTCTCTGGCCAGAACTTCCAAAACTATGTTGAATAGAAGTGAGGAGAAAGAGCATCCTTGTCTTGGGGCCTATTTCCAGCTTTTTCCCATTCACTATGCTGTTGGCTGTGAGTTTGTCATAGATGGCTCTTATTGTTTTGAAGTTTGTTCCTTCAATGCCTAGTTTATTGAGAGTTCTTAACATAAAGCCATGTTGAATATTATTGAAAGCATTTTCTGTACCTATTAAGATAATCATGTGGTTTTTTGAACTCAGTTCTGTTTATATGATGAATCGCATTTATTGATTTGCATTTGTTGAACCAATCTTGCATTTCAGAGATAAAGCCTGCTTGATTGTAGTCGATTAGCTTTTTGATGTGCTGCTGGATTTGGTTTGCTAGTATTTTGTTGAGGACTTATGCACCAAGGACTTTTGCATCAAGGATATTGGCCTGAAGTTTTCATTTTTTGTTGTGTCTCTATACCAGGTTTTGATATCAGGATAATGCTGGCCTCATAGAATAAGCTGGGGAGGAGTCCCTCCTCCTCATTTTTTTGAAATAGTTTCAATAGGAATGGTACCAACTCTTCTTTGTACATCTGGTAGAATTTGTCAATGAATCTGTCTGAGAATCTTCCTGGTTTAGTCTTAGGAGGATGCATTCATCCAGGAATTTACCCATCGCTTCCAGATTTTCTAGTTTGTGTGCATAGAGGTGTTCAAAGTAGTCTCCGATGGTAATTTGTACTTCTGTGGAGTCAGTGGTAATATCCCCTTTGTCATTTCTAATTGTGTTTATTTGGATCTTCTCTCTTTCCTTCTTTTTCAGCCTAGCTAGTGGTCTATCTTAATAATTTTTTCAAAGAACCAACTCCTGGATTCGTTGATCTTTCATATGGTTTTCCATGTATTAATCTCCTTCAGTTCAGCACTGATTTTGATTACTTCTTGTGTTCTGCTAACTTTGGAATTTGGTTTTCTCTTCTCTAGTTTTTCTAGTTGTGATGTTACATTGCTAATTTAAGAGATTTCTAACTTTTTGATGTTGATGTTTTAGTGCTATAAATTTCCCTCTTAAAACTGCCTTAGCTGTGTCCTAGAGATTCTGGTATGTTGTATCTTTGTTCTCATTAATTTCAAAGAAATTATTGATTTCTGCATCAATTTCATTATTCACCCGAAAGTCCTTTAGAAGCATATTGTTTAATTTCCATGTAATTGTATGGTTTTGAGTAATTTTCTTCACATTTTATATTTGTATTGCATTGTGGTCCAAGAGTGTTGTTGGTATGATTTTTTTAATTTGCTGAGGATTGTTTCGTGTCCAATTGTGTGGTCAATTTTAGAGTATATGACATGTGGTAATGAGAAGAATGTATATTCTGTTATTTTTGGATGGAGAGTTCTGAAGATATCTTTTAGGTCCATTTGATCAAGTGTTGAGTTCAGGTTCTAAATATCTTTGTTAATTTTCTGCCTTAATGATCTAATACTCAGTGAGGTGCTGAAGTTTTTCACTATTATTGTGTGGGAACCTAAGTTTCTTTGTAGATCTCTAAGAACTTGCTATATGAATCTGGGTCCTCCTGTGTTGGGTGAATATATATTTAGCATAGTTAGGTCTTCTTGTCAAATTGAACCCTTTAATATGAATGCCCTTCTTTGTCCTTTTTGCTCTTTGTTGGTTTAAGGTCTGTTTTGTCTGAAATTAGGATTGCAATCCCTGCTTTTTTCTGTTTCCCATTTGCTTGGTAGATTTTTGTTTATCCTTTTATTTTGAGCCTATAGATGTTACTGCATGTGAGGTGGGTCTCTTGAAGACAGCACAACATTTAGCCCTGCTTCTTTATCCAGTTGCCACTGTGTGACTTTTAATTGGAGCATTTAACCCATTTACATTCAAATTTAGTATTGAAATGGGATTTGATCCTGTCATCATGTTGTTAGCTGGTTATTATGCAATATTATAATTGTGTGGCTGCTTTATAGTGCCACTGATCTGTGTACTTAAGTTTTTTTGTAGTGGCTGGTAATGGTCATTTATTCCTATATTTAGTGCTCCTTTCAGGAGCTCTTTGAAGGCAGATCTGGTGGTAATGAATTCCGTTAGCATTTGTCTGGAAAGAATCTTATTTCTTTTTCCTTTATGAATCTTAATTTGGCTGGATATGAAATTCTAGATTGAAAATTCTTTTATTTAAGAATGTTGAATATTGGCCCATAGTCTCTTCCAGCTTGTAGGGTTTCTGCTACAGGGAAAAGGTCTTCATGGGATTCCCTTTGTATGTGACCTGTCCTTTCTCTCTAGCTGTTAAATGTTCTTTGACATTTTTTATTTCATTTCACCCTTGGAGAATCTGATGATTATTGTCTTGGGGATGATCTTATTGTTTAGTATCATGCAGGAGTTCTCTGGATTTCCTGAGTTTGAATGTTGGCCTCTCTAGCAAGACTGGGAATGTTTTCATGGATGATATCCTGAAATATATTTTCTAAGTTGTTTGCTTTCTACCTGTCTCTTTCAGGGACACCAATGAGTTGCAGATTTGATGTCTTTACGTAATTCCATATTTCTCAGAGGTTTCATTTATTCCTCTTCATCTTTTTTCTTTCTTTTTGTCTGTCTTATTTTAGAGAACTGGTCTTCAAGCTCTGCAATTCTTTCCTCAGCTTGGTCTATTTTGCTGTTAATATTTGAGATTCATTACGAAATTCTTGTAGTGTATTTTTCAGCTCTATCAGGTCAATTTCATCCTTTTTAATGCTGCCTATTTCATCTATCAGCACCTGTATCTTTTTTGTGATCCTTGTATTCCTTGGATTGGTTTTTGATGATCTCCTTAATCTCAATGATGTTTGTTTCTCTGCATATTCTGAATTCTATTTCTGTCATTTCAGCCAACTCAGCCTGGTAAACAACCCTTGCTATGGAACTAATGCAGTCTTTGAGTTCCTTTAACTGTGGTGTAAATTGAGTATAGTCAGTAAACTTCTTTAGGACATCAGAAAAGGACATCACAAGAAAATGACCACCTATTGGTCAGTTTCACTTGACAGATGTAAAATTCCTAAATTACATGTTAATGAGTTGAATTTAACTAATTGTAGTAAAAAGAATACATGATAGCCCAGAATAGTTTATCTTTTGAAATACAAGATTGGCTAAGTATTTAAAAATCTTGTGATGCATTTGAATAGGTTACTGTTTAAAGGCAAAAAAAAAATAATCATATTAATAGATGGTGAAAAAACTTGATAGAATTGAACATCTATTTATGACAAAAAGCTCTTATCAAGGTAGACTTAAAAAGAATTTGCCTTTAAATGTTAGAATATTATGCAGAAATTATGCAGAAACTCACGGCAAGTAGTACACTTAATTGTGAATTAAAAGCCTTCTCATTAAAGTCAGATTTTAGTGCAAGGAATTCTGCTATTACCAGTACTCTTCAGTATTATTCTTGCAATTGCAGCCAAAAGGATCTGATAATAATATAAATAATAGATATAGAAAAAGAAGAGAAAACAAGCATCTTTGGTAAATGATGTGAATAGCTAAGAGAATTAACTGAACAACTACTACAACTAGAAGGACTAGAATCAGTACATTGGATTAATAAAATATCTGCATATAAAAACTCAATAGTTCTCTTTAGAACAATAACCAATTAGAAAATGTAATCAAAAATTTTTAAAAACCTAATTCACTGAATAAAACAACAACCAATACAATAAACCTCACATGAACCTAGCAAGAAATGGTCAAGTACCACATAATGGTAAGTATAAAACTTTATAAAATAACTTAAAAGAAGACCCTACTAAATGGAAAGAAGTGCCATGATTCTGGATGAGAACATCTAATTTTATAAATATTTCAGTTCCCCCCTCCCCAAATAAATCCAATGCTTTTGCAATTAGAATTCCAACAGAATGTTTTAGAGAATTTCTTAAATTGTTTCTAAGATTTACTTACAGAGAAATGTTCAAAAATAGCCAAGAAAATTTTGAAAAAGAATACATTCATTCAAAAAGTGTCTATTCCATGCTCCCTATTTTCCAGACATTGTTCTGAGTGATGGAGATACGGCTGAAATAAAAATTATAATCTAATTTTAGGTCAAAATATGGCAAAATCAATTATATAGTAGCCAATGATAGAAAATACTATCTTTTCTACTAGTTTTGAAGAGCTTTTTTATATTAACTATCAGTTTAAAAAAGTAGATGGAAGTAATGAAAACCAAATTCAGATAAGAATACATTTAATATGTACTAGGCATTTAATATATATTGAGGATGTCAAGTACCAAGCTATGTACAATAATGCTTTTTTTGTAAATCCTCACATCAGTTCTGTAAAATAAATGCTAATATCATCATCATTTACATTTGATGAAACTGAGCTTTAGACATGAAACTTACCTTTTCCCAAACCAGTGATTAAGTCTGGATTTGAACTAAAATTCATCTATCTTTAGAGCTCAGGAACTTTATCAGTATGTTCTATGAAGATTAATGATGACACAACATAGCAATAGTTTTATATGTTCAATCTAAATACTAATTAAATAAATGGCTACTTAACAGCAATAATCAACTATTAAGTTGAGCATGATTAAAAAATATCCAAACTTGATTAGGGCACAATGTGGACATACAAAATTTTACAACCTTTCAGGAAAGCCTTCTAGTAAAGGGATTTAAGAGTCTTTGAAATCTTTAAAACTTTTTAAGATAATTTTTTGTACATATTTAAAGTATACAACATGAAGTTATGGGATACATATAGATAGTAAAAAGGTTACTATAGTGAAACAAATTAACATCCATTGTCTCACATAGTTACCCATTTTTTTTAGTAGCAAGAATTGCCAAAAACCTACTCATTTTGCATGAATCCCATCCACATATCTTTATTATCTATAGTTATCATGTTGTACATTAGATGTCTCGGCTTGTTCATCCTACTATCTGTTGCTTTGTATTTTCTGACCTACATATCCTCATCTCCCTACCTCCCACCGTCATGCCTCTGTTAACCACTGTTTTGTTCTCCATCTCTGTATATGATTTATTATTATTAGATTTCATGTGTAAGTGACATCATGCAATATGTTTTTCTATGTACGGCTTATTTCACTCAGCAAAATATCCTCCAGGCTCATTCACTTTGTGGGAAATGGAAAAAAATTTGTTCTTTTTTAAAGCTGAATAATATTCCATTGTGTATATGCACCACAGTTTCTTTATTCATTAATTTGTCTATGGACACTTAGGTCATTTCCATATCTTAGCTGTTGTGAATAATGCTGCAATGAACATGGAGTGCAGGTATCTTTACAGGGTGGTGATTTTATTTCCTCTGGATATATGCCCAGAAGAGGGATTGCTAGGTCATAATTCTAGTTTTAGTTTCTTTTTAATTTCTTTAGAAACAGTATGGAAATACTGTTTTCATAATGACTGTACCAATTTACAGTTCCATCAACAATGTACAAGAGTTCCCTCTTCTCCACATCCCTGCTAACATTTGTTATCTTTTGACTTTTTGATAATAGCCATCCTAACAGGTGTAAGTTGGTATCTCACAGTGGTTTTGATTTGCATTTCACTGATGATCAATGACGTTGAGCATCTCTTCATACACCTGTTGGCCATTTTTACATCTTCTTTGGAGAAATGTCTACTTAGACCTTTTGCCATTTTTTTAGTTCGATTATTTGCTTTTCCACTATAGAATTGTATAGGTTCTTTATAAATATTGGATATTAATTCCTTACTAGATGCATGATTTGCAAATATTTCCTGCTACCATATATCCTGCTGTTTCATCTTGTTGATTATTTCCTTTGCTGTTCAGAAGCTTTAAACAGTGTTTCCACTTCTAGGAATTTCACTTGAAGAAATAATCAGAAATGCCGACATAATTTTCATAGAAAGATGTTCAGCTGAATGTCATTTATAACAGCAAAATTTTGAACTCATCTAAATAATAAAATAATGGCATCTTCATAAGATAAATGACTGTAGATAGTATTAAAAATCAAAATTAAGAGTATATGATAACATGGGACATGATAATTATGCAATATTAAGTAATAAAGATAGGATAAAAAACAACACAAAAATTATAAGCCCAATACCAAATTTTGTATAAAAATACATTGATATAAAGTACTGTATATAGGAAATACTTATTTAAATTAAAAGACATATTTACAAATCAAAATTTAAATAATAGTTATTTACACATTTAAGAAAAATAAAATAGTAATAGAGTTTATGAAACCAGTGAAATAATTTTAAAGGGGAAGGTGTTAGTTTTCTTTCTGAAACTTTACTATATTTCCTTATTCTACAAATGAAAATAGATTGCATGGCTCACACAAATACATAAATATAGCAAAATAAAAAATAAAACTAGATAAGAATAATACCATTGTGTTTTGCACAGAATCCACTTAAAACCTCTAAGTATACTAAAACAGTGTTAGTAAGTCTTCATCTGCTTTTCCTAATAGAGAGAAAATGCTAATTAATTTATAGATAATATTTAAAGTTTATTTTATGCACCATGTCAGCAGATGCCGTTAAAAGAGAAAAGTGTGCTTTATAGTCCTATGGAAGGTAATAAATGTCAAACACATGTAGATACAGTTATAACTTTATGAACACTCAGGGTAATGCACACAAGGAAAACCTTACGCAAACACCAAATAAAAAGACATGCTTTCTAAGCACAGTCAGGGGACTGTTTTTTAGCTCTATGTGTAATGTAGGTGAGATAGAGGGTTAAGGGCTGCAGTGCAGTGTTCTGCAATAAACCCCCTGCAAGCGAGGGTTTTGATGGGGTGCTAATTGAGTAGCAGGTGAACATAAATAGAAAACACCAAGGGTGTGTAGGGGGGAGTCTTTTTGTTGATGAGAGAACATAAAAATGCTGAGCTCTGTAATAAGAAATAAATACAATCTGGGGCTTATTTCTCCAACCTCATTCTACCCTCCATAGTATGGGCCTCTCTAGATAAAAATGTTTGCTAGGGATTAACATGGCTTTTAAAATGTTTGGGTGAAAACGGAATAAATCAGGTAGGTTCCCGAAGCATATAAAAGCTTAAGGGTTTGTGTCTAGTGTTCTGCCTTTGTTCATTAGTTTGTGGTTAGATGCAATGTTTTGTATGGTTGTTGCTGATTTCTGACATGATTGGCTCAGAATGTCTCAAGACGTTAACAATGGCTGAATCATGAAGCATCTAAAGTAAAATTTCATCAAGATTTTATCAGAATGTAGATACCAAAAACATATAAAACAGAGTGAATAGAAACGTGAAGACTGACTCAAGCTTTCTGAAGTTCAAGATTCTTTTTTAAAAAAAGTAAATACTGCTTTTTGTTTAGCTCACCTAGACAGGTTTTAAAAATTTGTAGGTTCTAATGTTGATATTTCACCTTTTCCAGGAAATCATATAATACAAATACATAGAACCATCATATTGAAGATTTACCTTTCTCTGAGAAGCATTTTCAGGTGTATGTAAAGTGCTATATTCACTGACAGTGTTGTATATTTGAACAAAAATGAGGTCCCTGCACAGCATCGTTAATTCTAATAAAAGTATTATACACATCCAAGATGTAAGACATTTTAATACTATTACGTTTTTAATAACGATAGATAATGACACATTTCTTGTGCACCAGCAACTGTGCTAACCACTTTTTACATACTATTTCATTTGATCCTCACAACAATCTTAGGAAGTAAGCACTCTTAATTAAATTTCTAAGTGAGGATACCAATGTGTAGAAAGATTAAGTATCTTTTCCATAGTCACATAACAAATTAGTTGTGAAGCCAGATGTTGAACCTAAGTAAACTGATTCCCTACTGAACACAAATCCTAAACTGCTCTTTTATACACCCTCCTTACATTCGCTCTTCCAATTCCTGAAGAATATTCACTAAATGAATGCTTCGCTGTAATAAAGACTCTTGCTATTTTCAGAGAGTTAAGGTAGACTAACAAAAAGTTTACTTCCTCACATGGTCTAGAGCAGTGATGTTAAATTTTAATGTTCAAATAAATCACCTGGAGATCTTTTTTAAATGTAGATATTGATTCAGTAGGTCTGAGGTGGGACCTGAGAGTCTGCATTTTCAACAAGCTTCCTGGAGATGTCCTTGCTGCTGCCTCAGACCATACTTTAAGTAGCAGGTCTGGCCGGGCGCAGTGGCTCACACCTGTAATCCCAGCACTTTGGGAGGCCCAGATGGGCAGATCACGAGGTCAGCAGATGGAGACCATCCTGGCTAACATGGTGAAACCCCGTCTCTACTAAAAATACAAAAAATTAGCCGGGCATAGTGGCGGGCGCCTGTAGTCCCAGCTACTGGGGAGGCTGAGGCAGGAGAATGGTGTGAACCCAGGAGACGGAGCTTGCAGTGAGCCAAAATCCTGCCACTGCACTCCAGCCTGGGGGACAGAGCGAGACTCTGTCTCAAAAAAAAGAAAAAAAAAAGTAGCAGGTCTGTGGAATTTTTCCTGAGATGCATCAAAGGGATAGAAGTACAGTTCCAGTTGTTTTCCTGTGCCCTCCTTTAATTACCTAGTTTCTGTGATGTCACAATCTAGTTTGGAATAACCTTATCAACTTCCTGACTCTTTCTTCTTCTATCCTATTTTCCCCTTGTCTCAAAGAAGAAAACTGGAATGCTAATATAAATATAAATATTGCCACCAAATTCCGAAAGGGAGATAACCAGCTCAGGCATGTGTTAAGGAAAAATAATCCTGTGTCTTCTTTGTATTACTTTGTAGATTACAGACTATTTTATAAAAGTTTGAAATAAGTCATACACAGAACGCTTTCTATCACTAAGCTCACCGGGTAAAAATCAGAAAAACAAACATCTCCAAAATTACCATTTTCAGAAGTATCAGAACAACCCTACAAGAATAAGAGATGCAAGAAGTAGAATGGTGAGTATTTTAGGAACCAAGATATTGCCCAGAAGTTTAAGACTCATTTTAGGTTTATCCTGCACATCCAAACTTGTCCTTTCATATCCAACAATTTACCACACCCTATAGATTTAACATAACAAACAGCAATTCTTTTTCATCCACCACTGCTTTGGTTTAGTCCCCATCCCTTCTCACTTTACCAGTTTCCTAACATGGGCAGGAGAGAGGATTCCTGTTTAGCCCCAGGACTACTTCAAGGCCATTCTCTACACTGCTGCCAAGGAAACTTTTCCAAATTATTAATCTAATGTCACTTTGCTTTGCCTCCTTTCAACAGCTCCCTATAGTGTTAAAGTTCAGGCTTCCCAGGTTAGCACAGATAGCTCATTGTGGTCACACCCCCTCTGTCTCAGTAATTCATTCCTTCCATTACCTCACACAAACCTTTTACTGGTACTGAACCAGAATACAGCTCTACTATTGCATCACGGTGTTTTACACCTTCCTGCCTTCTCATGTTCTATTTTTATTCAGAAACTCTCCCCTTTCCCTTCTTTGCTCTCCTTCCTAGACCTCCCTCCTACACACCCAGCCAACTTGCCAAGAATCAGTTCAAGAAGTGTTCTGGAATACCTGAAAGCTCCCTGAATCCTCCTATTAAGATACTCAGAGGAACTACAGTAGGAAAAACAAGACCTCATAGACTACATCTGCAATAAGTCTAGATCACAAATGTAACTCTAAAATATAATTTGGTGGGGCTAAGTTAGGAAAAACTACAAGACCTATATGGTATCAAAACAGTATGGCTGAAATCAGAGGAAAGACAAAGGGACTGCTGATGACCCTGAGAGCTGGAAACTCCCAACTATCAGGCACCCCTAGAAAGCACAGTGGGCTTTTCTGAGAACAACAGGAGACAATGGGAGAGGATTTTGAAAGTTCCACTTTGAGAGTAATGAGGGCAAATACAAGTGGCCTAAAGAATGATCTGATGGTCCCAGAGAGTTTTGGGGTCTGGGGTCTATAAACTCTCAAAAGTGACAGACAAATCAACCCTTACATTACAGAGCTTAGCCCTAAGGAGAAACTGCTGGTATTCTAAGCCACAGAGAGCAGAACAGGGACTATAAGAGTAAGGAAAAACAAGGTGAAGATAAAACTGAGAAGAGTAGCAGAGGAGGAGGATCTAAGAGGTAGCTATTTTGATCTATCTTCTCTTCTAAAAGTACATAAAAAGTCATTTTACTTAACAATGAAGAGCAGCAAAAGAATGCCACAGGATCTTACATAAAATTAGTATAAAAAATAAAATAGTGAAAAAAAATCTCTCAAATAAGGAAAGCACACCAGAAAATTATGCCCACAAAACAGATGAAGAACCTAATGTTTCAAAATGAGCTAAAAATAAGAGAATTCTAGAATCTATAAAGAACAACATATATCAGAATCTAATATATCAGAATTTAAAAACTCAGAAGTGAGATGATTAAGAAAAGGATTTAAAAAGAGAGGTAAAAGAATTCAGGAAAGAATTAGAAATAAAAGAAAAAATAACTACCTCTAAAGTTAGGAAAAAACACAAAAGTAAATAAACACAACAAAATATGCCTTAAGAGAAATAGGATATGGAAAAGAGGAAGTTTTATAGATAATAGAATTTTGAAAGACTACTAAAAAGCATTTGAGAGTAAGTGATGAATACAGAAGAAAAGCAAGAGATTCAACATAAATATACTAGTAGTCTCTGAAGAGGAAAACTAAAGCAATGGACAGAATAAATATTAAAACTATAACTCAGGAAAATCTTTTACAATAATAAAAAGTCTTAAAACTAAACACTGAAAGGGTATACCATTTAGCTGGGAATTAAATCTATAATGCCAACATTAAGAAATATTCTACTAACTGACTGGAGATATATACATGCATATGTGTGTGCGTGTGTGTGTGTGTGTTTATTGAGGGGATATTATTCCCTTAAACCTTCTCTGAATAATCTATTAGAGAATGAGCTTCATACAATGAAAATGACTTAAGAGGCTTTGACATAAGTACAAGAGGTAGCACTAAATATATTTTTTCTATAGAATCAAGGCTGATGATTATAACAATAAAATGTCTGTGTGCCCTAATAATGTAGCTATAATACAAGAATCAAATATAGATAAGTACAATAAACTCATTTATTATTTCATATGTATTCATTAGGTCTACAAGGATATTACATCAACAAATGCTGGATTCGAGAGAAGAAAGAAAGAGAAACAGGTCACTAGTTGGTTGCATTAGTGCTCATAGTAGGAAACAATAGTCAATAGCCAGAAAGGGAGGAATGGAAATTACTATTACAAAGGATTTATTAAAATAAATATAAAAGTAATTATTAAAACAAAAAATGCAAACCTTCCTAAATGCCAGAAGATATTTTCAAAACTTTTAAATTTACTTGTGGGGAAAGAGAAGAATTAGAGTGAAATAACCAGAAATGAAAGCTAAGCTTCGTTTATTATAACTTGCTTCAAAACTTTGATTCTGGGGTGGTCGTAAGGGTTCGTGCCTTGTAATCCCAGTGCTTTGTGAGGCCAAGGAGGGAGGATCACTCGAGACCAGGAGTTCAACACTGCTGTGATCTATCCTCATGCCACTGCCCTCCAGTCTAAGTGACAGAGCAAGATACTGTCTTTAATAATAAATAAATAAATAAAACACAATTTAATTTTGGACCCTTGTAAATATTTTTCATAATTTCAAAGCAAGCTTAATTTATAAAATACAATCTCTAAAAATTAAAAATAAAAGTATAAAAATGACCCAACTGTATAAACAGTGCGGGCATAACTATACAGAAAGGAACTAATTCAAGTGAATTTAAAACATGGTAATTTAATTGCACATTCTGAGGACATGCCCTAAGGATTAAAAGTAGAATAAAAGAGAACAAGCAAACAAAAACACCCACTACGATCAGACTATTTTGAGAAAGCATATAGTTAGTGGACATGTTGGTAGTGTTATTCTTAGGTTGTTGTGTGATTACTATGGGATAAACAAATGAGAATTATGCTGGTGTTATTGAAAGCACGGATCTTTCAAGTGAAAGAAAGAAACACTATTGTAACACATAATAAGGTTAAGTAGTCTTGAACTGTAGTCTTGAATTTTGATTGGAACTGTCAATACAAAGTCACGATTTGTTTTTCTTTGAAAAATATTTCCCAACTCAACCATCCACAATGTCTCAAAACAATGTACATCCCAGCTGAAATTAGTGTCTTTGGTCTTCAGAATACGGGTTCTAAACTAGACATCTTACTATGAAGAAACAGGGATCCGTGCATAAATTGCTGATTGCAGGTCTGGGATTGGAATGCGAAATGTTTGAGATGGTCCTTAATGAATCGATAAGCTAACTGGAGCAACTCTAAAAATCTGGTCACTGGGCCAGTAGAGCTCTAACATCAACTGGGCAGTTGTAAGGAATGTAAGTTCTCTGTCTTACCTCAGACCTGCTGAATCAGAAGATTTGGGGTAGAGCCCAGCAGTTTGGGGTTTAATAAGTCTTCCAAGTGATGTTGATGAACACTGAAGTTTGAAAACCATTGCTCTAGGGCAATGATTATCAATGGCTCTTAACATCAAAAACATGAGAAGCAACCAATTATACTTTTTCTGACAAAAGTACATACTGCCAACCTATGAAGTAATCTTGCCTCCCACCAAAACCAAAGTTGAACCTGGGTCAGATTAAGCTCTAGTTCTTACAATCAAGTTATAGAAAATAGAGATAAACATGTTATGCAATCAAGAAAATCCAGACAGAGGGAAATTCTATAGGTTAAATAATCCAGGGTTTTCCAACAAAGAAATTCTAAGGAAAAATTATACATGGAAAAAGAACCTATAGAATAGGAAAGGCCAATTATAATAATATGTGGACCTTAGCTGATCCAAATTCAGATAAATAAACTGGAAAAACAACATTTATAATATAATTAGATAATTTTGAGCACTGAGTATTCAATAATATTAAGGGCCTTTAATCATTGATTTTTTTGGAAGATGGTGATACTGTACCTATATTTTGGAGATACACATGTAATTATATGCTGTCCACAAAAAAATTCAAAATAAATCTGGGGAGGAGACGGCGAAGTGGATAAGATAAATAAAATTGGCCTTGAGCTGATGGAATTAATGATTACTGAAACTGAGTAATGGTTATGTAGAAGCTGAGAAGCCTATTACAATATTCTTTCCATTTTTAGGTATTTGAATTTTTCAGTAATAAAAGGTTTCACATCAAGCATCATCTCTTCCAAAAAAAAAGGTTCCTTAGCACCACTCCGAACTCGATTTAGATAGCCTTTGTCAGTGTTTCTGTACTGCTCTGTGTGTAACTCTACCTTGTCTATGATCAGTTCCTTGAGAATATTGGGTTTTACAACCTTTTATAATCCAGTGGCTATTGTAGTCCCTGTACACAGCATCTTTTTCAGTTCAGGGTCCTCAAGGGAAACAGAAGTAATACCCAAACAGGGTAACTGAAGAGGGTTCAATAAAATAATTACTCAAGGTTAAGAGAAAAAACTAGAGATGAGGCATATGGGACTGGCAACAGCAGAAAGCCCTTACCTCATCTTGCCCAATGGGAAGGGAATGGGAGACTTACCTGAAACCTAGTGGGAACTGTGGCTTTAGGAAAGGGCTCCTGAGAGGAGCGGTAGCCTTTGTTAGAGGAACAGACCTGGAGCCCTATGGGGGGTGATTGCAGGGAAATACGTACTTCAAAGTCACTCCAATATTCTGCTGGTAGCTTTCATTGATTGAATCCACGTAGAGGCCAGCAAGCCCGTTAATGCAGTCAACAGGAAGAACACGAGGGTGGAAAGTGGATCTTGATGGTGAAAAAATTCAGCACATTAATCAATAATAATTTTTGAATAAAAGAATGATGCCTACAAGCAAATAAATCCAAAGACAAAACAATATAATGGTCCAGAAAAGTAATCAATATTGATGTCAGAGGTAGACGCAATGCCACAGAGACAAGAGGCTTCCTTAGAGATTCAGGGGGTTTCCAAATCACGACTTAAACTGTTTGGTGTGTGTGTGCACACACAGCTGTGCGGGTGCGCATGCAGAGGGGTGGGTGTGTGTGTGTAAGGAGGCACATTTGATGACACCATTCTCATGGAATCTCTTGCTCTTGCTCTTAATCCATCGGGCAAAGATTTTGAGAAAATCTTAGTTTATTTGCAGCAGATTTTAAAATAACCACAGATATTTCTATTGATCATTTAAAAGAATGATCTTTGTCTTTTCTATCAGTTTTTTTATCTCTAATAAAAAAATTATTTGAATACATACTGTATTACCTCCAGTGGTATTTTTTAAGCAGCATGCTAATATCAGAATAGCAGTGTAAATATACCTGCAATTGTCAGTTAACCTCATGCTATTATTTTTAGACTGCCTGCGGCAGTGTATCAGTACTGTCAGAAGGAAAAAATAATACAGAATAAGGCATTTTCACATTCTTTTCCACAAGCCAAGACACAAAATGGGCTCATTATCAACATGTGGTTGCCTACATTTCAATATTAATATATCTTTAGCTCTCCAATAACTGCTGTGGAGTTGTCTAATTCAGCAAATGTAAACATGTGTTCCCCCAGGAATGATACGCTGCCAGGCAAATGAGATATTTTTTCCCCTCAAATCCTTCCTTGAAATAAACTAATCAAGTCTAAAGATTCCAGGGCACTATTCTAGAGAAAAATGTTTTTTTTTTTTGAAGATCACAGTGTTGCTAGTGTTTCTACCCAGGGAGTTCAACCTGATGACCTTGCTACATACATGAGGCCTAAAATTATTCATGTCAAGAAGGAATTTTTTTTCTTGTACCAGATTCTCACAGGACCTTTAGCTGATAATAGCTACTAATGTCCATGGAAAAAAATTAAAAATTATATGATTCTGGAGTATGTACATCTTCATACTTTCCATGATATCCGCAACCAT
This sequence comes from Homo sapiens, assembly GCF_000001405.40. Taxonomy (NCBI): domain Eukaryota; kingdom Metazoa; phylum Chordata; class Mammalia; order Primates; family Hominidae; genus Homo; species Homo sapiens. The sequence continues at coordinate 37,678,066 of NC_000015.10, forward strand.
ATCTTAAAGCATTTACCTGGTAGCAGGGACATAAATTCAAACTTTGTCACCAGGGACCAGTTTCTTGGAAGGCAATTTTTCCATGGGGGGAGGCAGGAATAGTTTGGGGATGAAACTGTTTCATCTTAAATCAGCAGGCTTTAGATTCTCATAAGGAATGCTCAACCTAGATCCCTTGCATGTGCAGTTCACAACAGGGTTTGTGCTGATCTGACAGGAGGTGGAGGCCAGGCAGTAATCCTTGCTCTCCCACCGCTCACCTCCTGCTGTGCAGCCGGGTTCCTAACAGGCCACAGACTGGCACCAGTCTGCAGCCTGGGAATTGGGAAACCCTGGACTAGAGTGCTGGTTTTGCAAATCCAAATCTTGAAGCAGTATCCCAACTAAATATCCCAAGAGATGATAATAAACATTTACTATTCTTCATGTACAAAGACGGTTTAGTTTTCTACCAGTTAGATGGCAGCCTCCATTTTTTTTAGTAAAGGTAATCAGTTCACATCATATACACGGATACCTTGTTCTCCATGAAAATAGGAGTTTTCTGTTCAGCTATAATAGCTACCAGCATGCACAGGAACCAAACCTATGACTTCTGCCGTAAGGGCCACAAAGTTACATCCAGCTGAGTCCCCTAATGCATCTGAGTCTTTTGCAGTCAAGTATAGTGGTATACTTAGAAGAATATGTGATCTGCAGCCAGAAGACTTGTGGTTTGGGTTCTGTCTCTGCCACTTACAAGCTATGTGAATGTGGGCAAGCCATTAAACATATTTGAATTGTAGTTTTCTTATTGATAAATTATAACTATTTATAATTATTGCTGTCCTACAGAGCTGTTGTGAGGATCAAATAACAGTAAATGTGAAAGAAGTTTATAAATTGCTGAGTGCAATATAAGGTAAGTTTTCTGGCCTTTGATATAATTGTTTTATCTGATCAATCCACATTATTTGAGATCTGTCAACATGGGATTTCCAATTATCTAGTTCTGTTTCCTCCATCTTTTCCATTTATCCTCTCTTTCCAGTTTTACTATTCTCCATCCTAATTTAAAATATTAATTCCCAATAAAAATCTCAAATCTATCATTGATGGGCATTTGGCTTGGTTCCAATTCTTTGCTATTGTGAATAATGCCGCAATAAACATATGTGTGCATGTGTGGGGGTGGGGGGAGTGGAGAGGGGGGAGGGATAGCATTAGGAGATATACCTAATGTAAATGACGAGTTAATGGGTGCAGTATATCATCATGGCACATGTATACATATGTGACAAACCTGCACGTTGTGCACATGTACCCTAGAACTTAAAGTAGAAAAAAAAATCTCAAATCTAAGTAAATGCTATAGCAAAATATTTTAACAAAGTTTGCTCTCTCTTTTTACCCTTAAAATTTATTTCTAGCACAGCTTCAGGGATTAAAGCCAGAGACCACAAATGTAAAGCCAGGCCAAGAGTCAGCCTCAGGATTAAGGACCCCAAGAGGCTGGGGAGGTCAAAAATCACCCTGAAGACCCCATCTGTGGAGATAGGGTGTGTCTCACAGAGAGGTACACCCACAGTGTTTATGAGGGTTAGGAAACTCCAACACCTTATGCAAGGAGATGCCAGCAGGAGGAAAGGAAAGTCATCATAGATGTTTTAGTCCACCAGCAGATTGTCTGGCCAATAGGAGTTTGTAAAGATTTGAGAATGGCTAAATGCCATATCAGGAAAAGCATTTGACTGATAGTAAGAACTAGTTTCACTTACTGTTTCTACTAGTTATGGAACCGGTTTGAGCAAGTTTTGTTTTGTCTTTCTGGGCTTCAGATTCTTCAACTATAAAAAGTCCAGATCGCTTCTAAATTTCCATCAAGCTCTAAAATAGCACATTAGTCATAAGTAATTCATTTCTATTTTCACTATGCAAAATAAGATCAATCTGACAAAAATAAAATAAAATAAAAACAGCCGTCACCACTAAAATTTGTGTTTGATATGATTTTGAAGTCTTCCCATTCACTTGGGAAAATTCAAGGTTCTATTTAAGAAGGTTCCATAAAAAGTCAAATTAATATCCTTTGTACCTACTTCTTTAAGATGACTGCTTAACAGGAATTCTGATAAATGACAGGAGCTTCTGCCTGTAGCAACCAATCAAAATGTATTATTAGCGTAACATTCCCATGTAACGACATGCCAATAATTATCTCTTAAATGGAAATGTGGAATTCTTAACTTTCACATGTACAGAACATTACAATCATTGGGACCTAAAAAAATTGTAATTAGAAATTTCAACTATGTCACATTCTAGATTTCTTGTTGGTTTTGTAAAACTGGCCCCAGAAGAGGAAAGCGCAAGGTCACTATAAGTGTCCCTCACTTAGCATAAAACCCAGGACTTAAACTTTCTCATCTGGATGGGAACCCTCTCTTCTCTCTTAATACCTCTTTTTATCTTTCCTATCCTCTTTACTGCACCCACAAAATAATATTGTCAGAGCTTTCATATTTATAAGCTATTGAAGAGATAATAGCAGATAAGAACTTTTTTTTTTTTACTTCACTTTGTATTTGTTGTTGTTTTGATTCAGGAAAACATTGAATTGTGTTAGTGTAAAGGGGAGAAGAATAAATCTAGCCTGATGAAGAGTGGGAAGATATTAAGCAAATGATTTGTCATGCAGTAGGGGAGTCAATAAATATTTTATGTTGATAAAATCAGAAGCAAGTGAGCTAATATATAAGAATGCATTTATTAAAACATAAGATACTATATAAACACTCTTATTGTCATCAGTACTTTAAGCAGAGCAAAAATGGAAAAGAGACAGAAAGAGATTCTTGCCAAATGCCAGTGCTACCCCCACCAAAAATGTGTTCAAGGCTGGAAGTTGGTTATTTAAGTTTCCTGTCTTCATAGGATGCTATAACTCTTGCTTTCTTTCGAGTTTCTTCATCTTCCCTTACTCCACCCACATTATAACGATGCCCAGAAAAGGCCGGTCTCAGTTGCATACTCAGTTCAATGTCTGAATCCATGGATCATGGACAGCCCCTTACGATTCACAGAAAGAAGTTCATATTTAATTAAAGATGAATGAAGTCATTTAAAGACATCCTCTTTCAGCAGTTGAAAATAAATGATGTTTTTAGATCAGCATCTCAGGAGCTCTGTCAGAAAGCACAGATTTTAGAATCTTTAGTTCCAGTTCCTAGTGTTCTCTGAGGCTACAGTGGCAATCTTAGGCCCATCAGTCTTTCTCTGACCCTTGGCTTTAGGCTGTTAAGCCTTGGCCATCTGTCTTCTAAATACGCATGTTTGGTCTCCAAGGACCAACACCCAAGGTGAGAGGACATGGGTGGTCAGGGAAAATGTAAAGTCGCAGTTGGGATAAAGATAGAGAAAAATCATAAGGCATTTCCTCCATGTGGAGCATAAGCAGTATCACCTTCTAATGTGCAGGACAATTTATCTCTTTCCCAAGGTAAGAGAACAGTACCACTGTGCTAGTGTTTTATCCATTGCCACCCAGCCTACTATTTTTGGTATTATTATTATTAAAATAAATAATGAAAATGTTGTTGGATGTTGGTCCCACAAAACTCAGCCTTTAAGAATGTTTCTGCTCTACAAGTAGGCTTCCTATCATAACTGCAAACAAAGGATTAAAGGGGCGTGCAGGGCCCCAGAAAGCTCTTCCTAACTGTCATGGCCCATCCTTAAATGTTAAGAGCTGCTGAATCTCTGTCTGCAGAACTTGATGCTTCAAAAACATAAATATATTGTTCTTAAAGCCCAGATAGAACACAGGCCTGATGTCATGAATACTGATGACTTTCCCCAGTTGAGGGACTATTGGGGTTGGCGAGGAGCGGGTAGGACAAAGGAAAGGAAACATCTCAGAGTCATCACAACAACAGACTCTTGCATCTCAGAGGAGTTCCAACCCTCTGAGTTCACTGTTAGGCTCTGAATAGAATTACCTACATGTCAGTCCATCAAGGTAGTTTAAAATACCTGTGCTCCTAAAGCCAAGGTGTCATTACAGATTTAGCACTACCAGCAGTGTTCTCTTTGTCACACAATGAAGCAATATGGTTAATTAACGCTCACTGGGGAGCCTGGGATAATGACGCCTCTCTCTTCCTAGAGCCAATTACCCCAAATATTCAGATTACCTACCTACTACTTCACTGAAAGAAGTGTCTGGGTGTTTTTTGTTTTTTTTTTTCAAGGCATTATGTATCATGTAACGTCACATTATGTGATGTTGTATCACAGCCTGACAGCTTACAATGAGAGATATGCTGAATATATTGGGTAGTTAATACCTGTCTGAATTAACAAGACAACCAACTTTCCAAAGAAAGAAATATCTGGGGTACCTCCTGGGATATCTGGAGGGAGAACCATGTCTGATTCACTCAATCAACCACTGTGTGTCACTGTTGCTTCTTGTAAAGGCACACGAAAGGGTATTTGTCTGCAGAGATGGCACACGTATCTACACATAAACGATCAATGGTTTTGTACAGAATCCTTAATGGATGCCCATTCATAGAGATTCTATGCCAATTCTGTTTAAATGATCTCACTCATCTAGGAATTAATTATCAAGAGTCAGAGTAACATACAGGAAAGGGTATGGGATTGAGCAAACCAGTTGAGAACCTGGTATGTGACCTGTACTTATTCATCTGTTCATTCAAAAAATATTCAGTGCAAGCCTGTTCTCTATAGGGATTCTGTTACTAGCAGATAGAATATACTCCAGCTCCATTCTTTTCATTGTGCCTCAAATAAGCCAGACATAATCCTGCCTCAGGGCCTTTGCACAAGCTGATACCACTATCTAGAATGCTCTTCTCCAAGATATCTTTATGATGAATTCTCTTGCCATCTTTAACATTTTCCCAAATATCAGCTTCTCAATGAGGTCTATCCTGGCCAACTTATTTAAAATCCCATCCCCTCTTTTGTTTCAGTACTCCTTGTTCTTTTTTACTCCATAGGAAAAAACATACTTAGATTAACTTGTCAGAGAAACTGTCTTTGAGGAGGTGACATGGAATGTCAATGATGAGACATCAATGTCAAATGATGACAGATAGATAGCCCTGAAAGGAATGGAAGAAAAGATGGCTTACTTTCCTCTTTTGTAACAGGGATAAATGTCATCTATCTGGTAAGAAGAGGATTAAATGAGATAATATATGCAAAGGCCATAGAATGTACTTTCTCAATATTCTAGTTATGTCATTTCCTCACTTAAAACCTTCAGTGACTTCCCATTTTCTTCTAAACAAAATTCATACTCTTAGATCAATAACTCCATTGCTCAGTCCTAGTTTCTTTCAGGCCTCTTTCATCACTAAACTCCATCAACTTCCACCAACACATACACACACACACACACACACACACACACACACACTCTCTCTCTCTCTCTCTCTCTCTGTCTTTCGTGGAACTATATAACTTCTTATAAAACCCAAATGCCAACATCTTGTTTTGATGCTCTCTCCATTGGCCCTACCTAGAATAAACAGTCTGCCCTGAGCAAACTTTCCCTTCATGCTCAATCACTCCTGTGTGTCCCATGTATCCTCTGCTTTCCTCTGCTATATTACTTATTGTACAATACTAAGATTGGTACTTTTAGTTTCCTTCCCTGTAACCACACTGTCAGATTACTGAGGGTAGAGCTATATCTGATTTATTTTTCTATCCCTAGCTCTTGATGCAGAGCCTAGGATATAGTAAACTCACAATGCAAACATTTGAATGACTGGCTGAATCCATTCAACAGATCAGCACTACATCAGTGATGGGCACATAGCTTGTTCATAATAAATGCTGACACTCTCCCATCACTCCCAACTAACTCATTTAATTATATATGTGAATAATTAATCTTTTAGTTTACATAGGTTATATAAAGTTATAATTATCTGAAACTAGATATTAATAAAATATTGTGTTTGACAATGCAACAAATATGCTTTCAGATCTATTATAAGCAGAAAATTCCTATTTTTCTTTGGGTGAAGGGTAAGCATAAAGTTATAGATGAGAAATGTTAAGATCCATGCCTTCAATGAGCATACAATCTACTAAGGAAGACAAAGATATATGAACAGTTAACCAGCCATGGTTTAGACCAAAATTAATTGTCATAATACTAGCACATATGAAAGAAAACAGTTGACAGGGTTGTATAAAAAAAGGGAAAATAGGAAAAAGAAAACGATGGGCCTTTAAGGAAATGCTGTGCAGATGAGGCTGCAGTATCAGATGCATTCAAGGGTCCAGGGTCTGGACACATGGAGGCATAGAATAGAAAAGGTAGATGAGGTCTAGGTGGAGGAATAGCAGATGAGAGAACGCACTGGGATGTTTGTTCCAGTGTCTCAATGATACTTGCAGGGACATCAAATTTAATATCAGTATACTGATGGAATTTAAGAACTTGTGGCAACATGTCAAGAATAGTTGAAGTTGAGGTTGGAGAAGTGGTAAGCGGCAGGGATCCTGAAGGCAGGAAGGCAAGTTACTAGGCTATTATAAAAGAATGAAAAAAGGTGGGGAGGAAATAAACTAGAGCACCACTGGGATGAATTGAAAAGAGTCAACATTGTGAAGACAGACCAATGAATGTATCTGATAAGTGACTGATGACATCAATCATGATTCCAGGAATTCAAACAGAAGTTCAAGGGGAATGGTGAGCCCATTGTCCTAGAATAAGAAATGCATACAGAATAATTTAGGTGGCAGAGGGGAGGGGCAAGTTCACTAATGATTCATTATTCAGTCTTAGACATCATTAGCTGAGGTGTCAGGTGTGCAGGGGACACTCTGAGGTCAGATAGAGCAGGCTGTGAGTTATGAACTGGCTCAAGATTCAATCAGTAAAAAGTATATTTTTGCTAATATAAATAAAGTTACAAGAAACATTTACATTAAAATAGTTTATTTTTTCTTTTACTCTCTTTTGAACTATTTCCTTAGGGCAAGTTTCCACAACTGTATCACAGTCCTTTACAAGGGCCTCTTCCAATCCTCTAATCCTTTCACTTGAAGCCAGTACTACCTCAGTGCTTCCTTAGAAACCTTGATACTTTTTTTTGCTTTCAGCCCTGTTCCAACATCCCAATACACCACATTGTTTATGACAGTCCCCAATGATTTACAGCAATCACTTTAATAATTTTATAATATGCTCTCCAGACAAGATCTCAGTTGTTTAGCCAGTACTTTGAGAATAGTTTCTAAGGTACTGTTATAATCTTGTTTCCAAAACCTCATTAACGTAAGCTGACTTTTTCCCAGGGTAGTGAGAGTAAAACATAATGAAACACTTGATTTTTTGGACTAAGTCCATAGCATTACTATGCTATTAACATATAAAGATATGAATCACTAAAAATCAAGTTTAGATGTGTGATTTGCAAGTTCACATATTTCTGTTGACAACATAATATAAGTGTAGAAACCATAAATGGTATTTTTGATTTTCATAAACCTTGGTATATCCAACAAACATATCTCTATGTCTTCCTTTAGTTATTGTAAATGCAGTCTCTCACATTCTAAGCATGTAATCAGTAAGCATAGAAAGTAATTCCCGCTTTCATTGGCTACAATGAATATCTGGGACAGACATATCCATCCTGAGTGTTGACTCTGATGAAGGTTTCAATTTTAAACATGGATTCAATAAAACCTCAAGTAAATTGTGACAAATGCCTTGCCTCAGTGTGTTAAGTTAATTTTTAGTTTAACAAATTATACTCTACATCCTTTGGGGTTTTTTTCTTCGTTCATCAGAGTTGTGCTTCACTTACTATTTTTTTATGTCTGATAAAATTTGTTTTTGTAAAGCTGTGATCTCACTTCTTTGAAAAAGACTAAATGGGAAATTATATTTTTCCAAGAGTAAATAAAGGCTTCACTTTAATTCAAAATTACAAGTCCAGAGCATTTGAGAGATTTTACAAACTGGCACAGCATGTTCTGTTGGCCTTATAGGAATAAGATGATCCAGGGAGGATACACAGCCCATAGATCAACATCAGCATCTCTCGGCCACAGAAAGAAATACGTAAGATCATCCTGCTCCACTCCCAGAAAACTTTTTAGGCCTAGATTTCCATCTCTAGTCTTGTCTTTCCTACAAATGTGAGTTATCTGAGTGCTCACTCACCATGTAATAGCCACCTTGCCCAATATGGAGAATATAAAGATAACACACAGGCCATTTCATTGAGGTGTTAGTAGAGCACTTTGCCCTGTCCACCTTTTCTGCCTAGCCAGCTGCTTCTCTTTCTTCAATACCCAGATCAAATGTCACATCCTCTGTGTAGCCTTACCTAATGCCTCCCCTTTGTCCCCAAGAGAACTAGCATCTTCCTCTTAACTCCTCCATGACTCCATTCATACCTGCATTAACTTATCCTGATGCGTTTTGACATATCTGCTTATGTTTATCTGGTTATATTAACAAAACTCATTTAAGCACAGGGACTTACTTAAGATTTACTAGAGCTAAGAAATACTCAAGAAATGGGTGTTGAAGATAGGAAGAGAGGCAACATGCCCTACAACACAACAATGAAAATCTTAGACTATACAGCCACATGGATTCAAATTCCATCTATATAACTTACTAGCTTTGTGATCTTGATTTAAATCTGGATGAGTTATTGAACCTCTGTGCCTCAATTTTCTCATCCAGAAAATGAAGAATATGGTAATACTGATCTCTTAGAGTTATTGCTTGGCAACTTTAAAGACCCAGCTCTAGAGAATGAAAATAGGGGGAGAAGTCTTGGTTGTATTGTTCCTTTCTATCCACTGCAATTAATCATTAAGAGAATCTACTCTCTAAACATAGAGGAAAAATAAGCTCAATGTGCAGTTTTTCTCAAATTTTGGTGAAGTATAAGTATGCCTTTGACACTATATTCATAACTCTGTTACTTCTACCAAAGGGACAAATTGCACTGAAATCTTATCTTAAATGACTTTTCTCTGACTATAACATTCAACTTGCAAATTGTATCTATCTATCTATATATATATGGAAAATAAGAAGAAAACAAAGTTCACCCATAATTCTTCTACCCAATGGTTCTTCAAAAGCTATTGTTAAAATAGTTTTAAATATTGTGGTTTGAAATAGTTTAAAAAATTGTAAACAATTGTTAATATGGTTAAAATTTTGTAACTTTTCTTCTGTTTATACTTTGGCTCATAATTCAATTTTACTGGATAGATTTTCATATAACATTGCTTAATAGAAATTTCCCGTTATTAAATATTCCCTGAAAACATAATTATCTATTTATATTTATTTAATTTTCTCCCACTATTAGATATTTAGGCAACAACATTTTGACAATCATCTTTGCTATAAGTTGTACATACGTATTTTTTACATGTTACATAACATACTTTATAGCATTTTCATAACTTAACTTCACTATGATCCTAAGAAATAGGTCAAATGTTACAATCTTTATTTTGTAGAAGAAACAAAGGATCAGTGTTAAGCAAGTTTCTTAGCAAATCACTGGTGAAGTAAAGACCATGAGTTAAGGCATCTGACTCAGTTTATTGCTCTTTCCATCAAATCACTTCATATGTAAAATTGAAGTAATAAACCTAACATCAGTATAAAATGACCATTGGTTGCATGTGTTTGTGAGCATTGATGATTTTGTGCTAATTCACTCGAACATTCTTTCATGATTCCCTTTGTATTAAGTGACAAAAATATGTGATACTGCCCCCTTAAGGAACCGGAGCCTCCACCTTGTGCTCAAATCAGCACTGGGCTGTTAGCCACTGGACTAATTAGCTCATTTCTGCACAAGGAGGTTATGTACACAGCAGCACTAAAAGCTCTACTGAGGCCTGCAAAAGGGGAATCTTCTAGTGGACAGAAATTTGAGTGGCATACCAGCTTTTTCAGTTTACCTGGAAGGAGATATGACTAGAGGTGGGGATGGATATTGATTTTTGGTCAGTAGCTAACAGATGATCAAGGACTAGAAGGAACAGACTGGAGCACTGATGATACCATAATGCCAAGATTTTGCCCCCTACTGTATCCCATGTGCTAACAATGCTTAGCATAGCACATACTCTCGAAAACATTTGTTGATAGAAAGAATGAATAAGACCTACTATTGGCTAGCACAATGAGATGACTATAGTCAAAACTAATTAATTGTACATTTTAAAATAACTGAAAGAGTATAATTGGATTGTTTGTAACACAAAAGATAAATGCTTGAGGTGATGGATACCTCCATTGATCCTGATGTGATTATTACACATTACATGCCCAAATCAAAATATCTCATGCAACCCACAAATATACACTTCTACTTTGTACCCACAAAAATAAAAATAAAAAAAATTATTGAATGAAAGAATAAAGGAATCTCAGAAAAAGATAGGATATGCTTCTTAGCATTGCCCCAGAATTGAGAATATTTGTATGTTTTATGAATTGTCATCCAGGGACATCCACTGCAGAGGAGCAGATACTCTTTGGTAAGCATTTTATCAAAATTTTTTCCCAATCAGCTTTGTCCCATAACTGCTTGAGGGCTTGTTCAAAGTATCCATGAACTGCTGGCTACAGTAGCAGGGCTTGATGTACATACACACGCAACCATAATGATTTACCTTCCCCAAAGCTGTCCTGGAAATGAATAGACACCTTGTCTTCCAACAGCAGAAATCAATCCTAAGCCTCCAACATGACACCAGTCCCTGCTAATTAATAACATTGGATCTATACCCCAAAGAAAGGCTAGAAGTTATTCCTTACTGGAAGAGAACAAAAATAATTTTTCTGCCCTGCCTGATCTGCATATACAAGTTCAGCATCCATGGTCTTATTTTACGTACTATTTTTTATGCCTATATCCTTTCATTATAACAAAAAGTCATTATACAGAACATACAGAAAGACAGTAAGGCAGTGGATCGACACTTACGGGATTCATTGGTCTTTTTACATACCCCATCATCTGGAAGCAGCTGTACTTAAAGAATTGTGTAATTGGCCTCCTGAAGACTTAATTGTGGTACCAGCTGGAGAATGACTACTTGCAAACTTGGCACTGGCCTATGTGATGTCTATATGATATGGAATATGCTCTAAACCTGTGACTACATATGATGTCATTTTTCCCATACTCAGAATGCGTGAATTTGGGAACCAACTGGTAGAAGTAGGTGTGTGGTTCCTCACACTATTCTATCTAATGAATCACTTGCAAGAGTTTTGCTTTTCATCACTACAACTTTGGGCTCTTATGATTTAGAGGTATTCATTACTAAAGGAAGAATGCTTCTATCATGGGAAGGATATAAATATGAACTGGATGTTGAGACTGTCATTCTCATTTCCTCTTCTCACTGAAACAACAGGCAAAAAAAAATAGGTTACTATATTGACTGAAGAGTTTTATCTTAATCAACAAGAGGAAATAAGATAGACAATGGGACAAGCTTGTGTCTATACGCAAGGGATTATTTAGGGATACCCCAACACTTTTATGCCTAATAGTAAAATTGATTAGAAGCCTGAAGCATACTGGAAGGATGACCAAGAATCCCCTCAAGCATGAAGCAGTGAGTGACTCTTTATTCATTCAAGAAACTAACTAGCTGAAGTACTAGTTGAGAGAAGATTGACTATTTAAAGCATAGCAGAGGAAGGAAGTTCTAGCTATCAATTACGGTTCAGTAACTGGTTGCAGTAATAGACTTCATTAGTTAACTTTTCTTCCTCTCTCTCTTTTTTTTATATTTATGAATATTAACCTATTTAAAATTTCCCTTTCCACACTTATTTTTTATATTGCATGTACAATAAATTTCTCATTTAGTCCTTAGTTTATAGAATACCAAGGTAAGCATCTGATTGAACCAAAAAAGAAATAAACATTGCTGAGATGGACTCACAATTAATGGCACATGGGTCTCTCTTTAGGGGAGAAGTTAAGCACTTATTCACTTGTACAATGGATATATTGCATTAATGTGGGACTGTGTTGTTTCTTTTTTTATTGTTTGGTAATATTTATGTACACTAAGTAAAAAAAGAGTATGATTCTGCTTTATATTATGCATTCACACTCAGCATTCATTCCAACATCCTTTCATCATACCTCCCTCTACTTTAGAGGCTGGGAAGCTAAAAATGACTTTTCCAAGACTCCCTTGCAGCTAGAGTGTTGAATGTGTAATTAAGTTCTATTAATGATATACACTTGCAAAAGATTTGGAAGGTAAATGTTAAAAAGGATAGCTTTGCTGCTATTTTCGCTGCTGCTCCTATGAAGCAAGGAGCAACAAAGGACCAGTAGGTTATGAAGATGCTGTGTCTACAGAAGCATTCGTATGTCTGGCCTTTTATGAGTTTGAGACACACTTGTGGCAGCAGCAATATCCTGATCACTGGACCACACCTACAGCAGTGGGTTCCTGAACTCGGGTTCCTGTGATTGCCTCTTGATAACACATATTTATGATTACAGGAGAGGAAGCAGTTCTCTCGACATGGCATTTCAACAGTCTTATTCTGAAAGTTACTCCTGGACACCCAACATAGAGTCTTCTTCTGTAGTACCTCTAAAAATTGTGTAGTTACTAATTCCCCATATTAAAATCGTTTCTTGCTTAAACTAGCCAGAGCAGGTTTGGTTGTTGTAGCTGAATGTTAATAGAACACAAATTAAATTAGCAGAAGAAAAATCTGCACCTTATGTGAATCAGTATTTACTTTGAAAAATAATACACACATGATCTTTGGGGTTATCTTTTATCAAACCTGATTCCCAATCCTAGTCTATTATTTTTTGGCAGTGGCACCATCATTATTCTAGTCAACCAACTTAACATCCTGGCAACACCCTTGACTCTTTTCTTTATCCCATCCAAGTCAGTCAACATATTCTACTAAATCTTCCTTTGAAAACATCTGTTGTCATTACCTGTCTATTCTAAATCCTCTTCACTTATTATTTCTTTTATCTGTTCTGACTCCAGTATTCCTACACAAGTAAAATAAAGGAAAAATCTGATGGAAACTTCTGGTTAAAGGTAGAAAAAACTTAGTATTAATATTTGCCACCAATTGCTTTCCAAACCTCATGAAAATTAAAGAGATTTTTAAAGACATAAACCATAAGAACAAAGATACTGGATTAAAACTCAATAGCCAGTGAGCTGAGATCGCGCCACTGCACTCCAGCCTGGGCGACAGAGCGAGACCCCGTCTCAAAAAAAAAAAAAAAAAAAAAAAACTCAATAGCAACAAAATGTGGAGAGCTAGAAAGAAAATAATAGAATGGTAAATGACATAGAAGACATAAAAAAGCTGAGTTTTTGGCCAGGAATACCGAAGCCTGAGAACAACCTACTTAACATTGCAGAACTCTTGAAACATTCAGAATTCCACAACACAAGGTTCCTCTGGAAGTGGCTTGAAGGCAGGGCCAGAAATGGCAAGATTGATTAGAAATTTGGTAATAGAACTTTAAAACTATCATTAATATCTTTAGATAGATTTAAAAAATGTTGCACCTACGCAAGAATAAAAGGATGTAATCTATAAGGGAAGTTTAAGAATAAATAATGGTTTTTGGAAATTAATAAGCAAGAGAGCATGAATTAAAAAAAAAACAGCGGAAGGATCAAATTCCAAATAAAACAAAATAATAAGGTGGGCAGATCCCCACCATCACTCTGTGCAGTTGCGCCACTGCCCTTCCTAATTCTGGAAGAAGAATAAAGCTGTAGTTTTTTGGAGACAACAAGCTGATGATCATTGACTGGGAATTGTAAGCATTCTGCACTACAACTGGGGAGATTAAGACAGTGCGTTTCAGGATACCTGAAGCTTGAGTGCCCTGCCTTTGTTGGATCTGAGAATGCGGTCATCCAGATTTTCACGCAGGAAGCATTAAACTGAGTCATCTATTTTGCAGCCCAAAAGACTTAAGAAACTGTAATTTTTGTTGCCTAACAAGGCACCCAGCCAGGTGATCCTAAAGTGAAAACCCAGAGGATAAGTCTTGCCCATCAGCTCAGTCTTCCCACTGAAATTCTGTATTTCTCCTTAAATCTGAGTTGGCTGCTAAAACGTTTAAGAAAAGTCTCTGATGGGAAAGCAGGAGGCCAAGACAAACAGAAAAGGGCCACATATAACAAAAACTGGCAGAAAAAGAGAACTTTAAAACTATCATTAATACCCTAGATAGATTTAAAAAAAAAAGACGTTACAGCTACAAAAGAACAAAAGGATGCAATCTATAAAGGAAGCTTGAGAATAAATAAAGGCTTTTGGAAATTAAAAGCAAGAGAGCATAAATGGAAAAAAAATGTGGAAGGATCAAAGATAAAGCCACAGGAATCTCCTAGAAAGCAGAAGAAAATATAAAACATGTAAAATAGGCATGAAAAATAAGAACATTAAAGGAAAATTCCAAATAACAAAAAGACCCAAGGAGAAAGAAAATGCATGGAGGAAGTCATCAACGACATGATTGCAACATTTTTTTTTTCCAGAACTGAAGTACATAAAATTCCGGCATAAATGGTCTACCAAGTGTCCAGCACAGCGTATGAAAATACACCCACACCACATAATGCCTTTGAAAATTTAAAACAGCAGGGCAAGGAAAAGCTTCAGGAGAAAAAAACGGTTTCAAATAGCCACATTAGAAGAAAGGGAAGACAGGAAATAGGTGTCAGAAAAATCAGAACATAGCAATAGAAGCATGTTATTTAGAGATAGGTAAACAAAAAGAATCTGAATTTAAAAGTGTGAACATGTTTTCTCCCAAGAAACCGAACAGAAGAAAGAGGTCTAGAGGATCATAGCCTTGTAGAATATTTGCCATGTTAAACTATTTCCATGCATATTTTGATGAAATTAAAAACTAATAGAAAAAGAGAGAGCCAAAACCAAAATCCTTCTGCACATCATCCCGCACAAAGCTTTCGTTAAAATACCACTTTTAGCATTTTTTCTCTATTTTTTAGCCTTCAATAATTCCCATTTAGAATTTGTATTTCTGATATAAATCACCAAAAATGTGATTTCATAGCTGCTTTTCTTCGACCTAAAACATTTATTCTAGTCAGACTGTTATTAGTAACTCTTAAATGTAAGAAAGTATGCATCTTTCATTATTCTCTCTTCACAATATGAATCAAATTCTAATTTTTCTCTTTTATACCGACATCCAGCACACACTCTTAGCTCTCTTCTTTGAATTATTCTATATGCATATTCTAATGTGTTTTACATCACTTTCTAATTCTCACGTGTCAGTTCTATTCATGACTGCCAAGTAGATGTATGATACTCCTCATGTATCCAAACAGGATTTGAAACTACATACACTATAAATTCCAAAGCATTGTTTGTGAATCAGGAATGAATACATACACACACACACACATACATACATATATGCATACATGCAGGCAGGAAGCTAATGAATGGTAAGTAAATGTCCAATTTAAACTTGTTGAAATTTTAAAAACGATACACATTTTCAACTTTAAAGAAAGGGTATGTTATCCTAGAATTTGCAATTTTCCAGGGTTTTTTCTTTGAACTGAGATATTCTTAGGTATTTGTAACCCTCACATTTTATGGCCTCCATAGGCTTAAGAAATGAGGAATCAATATGTAATTGAAACTTCTAGAGTCTAGTCCATAATAATCTTAGGAACCACAAAAATCTCAGGAATCCTATGACCATGGGTAAGTTTTATAATATTTTCTAGATATTTTTCCAGTGGTAAAATTTGCAGTTGAGAAATAATTTCAAGTGCCATAACAAGTCATTTTCCAGCTGAAAAAGAAACATGAAAGCATCCCCTGTTACGAGAGAAATGAGAGGCTAATATCCAATCACTCGAGTGCTCACTAAAGGGTCTTCTGAAGGGGTCACTTGCCAGGGTGAATAGTTTGCTTAGCCTTGGTGACAAGCTGGTATCCTCTCCTTTATTATTCTCTTCCTTAGCCAAACCACAAACATTCAGGTTTAATCACATTTGTAGTCTGAGCCAATAACCATATCCTTCCACCCACAACACACACACACACAAAGAAGCTAAAATATTGATCCCTTCCTATGCTCTAAAATTGTTTAAAATGTTCATTTATATTTTCTGTCATCTCTAGTTTACCTTATTTAAATACGATGATACAAATTAGGTCTTCATATTTTAACCAACAAAACTTCATCCAAATAAAACTCAAAAGAGAATTTTTTTTTTAACAGAGATAGTGGATTATTAACTACCATTTAACTAGAGTTAATGGATATGAAGGAAGCCGCACAAATAATTACAGCAGATTGGTAATAACGTACAGCCAGGTGAGGAAGATAACACACTTGGTCCACACCTGGAAAGCGGGATCTAGTATACGTGTAGTGCACCTCAGGGATGCGGCCCCTCCTCAACCACTGAGTCACCATGGGGTCCTCTGTGAAAGTCACATGAACCTGAGACTCAGATTATTTACGACAAAAAATACATTTGATTATTTGAGAAATAATGACTACCATTTATTCTATCCACTTCTGTTAACTAAGACCTTTCCTAAGCAATGAATATTTTATCTTGTCTAGTTGTAACAGCAAACCTCTGAGATTATTCTGCTCTGATGAAAATGAGGCCTAGAGAAGTTCAGTCATTTCGCCATATTCACATAAAGTAGAGGAGCTAGGATTTCTACTCAGTTCCTTTTAATCCCACTCTATGTTATGAGTACAGACAGAAAAATGGGTTAAAAAAAGACTTTTATTCTCAAAAGCACAAAACAACTTTTAGGATGGGAGGAGCAGAATTTTCATATCTATTTTGTTAATAACACAGAGATTGTGTGTTCAGTGACAACTGGAATTAAGATGACATCTCACATTATTTAACTTTTAGTTTAAAAATATTACATCAGAAATGCTTACCACCAGAGCTTGGAGATCACCTAATTCGGTAATATCATTATATATGGTTAAGATTCTAAGGCCCTCAGAGAAGGAGGTATTTCCTTAAGGGTACATGAAGCCAGGACTGGCCTGAAACCTGACTGACCCCCAAGCAGTTCAGTGCTCTCTCCTCTGCAGAGGGCAATGTCTGTCTGTCTCTCTCTCTCTCTCTTTCTCTCTCACACACACACACACACACACACACACACACACACACACACACACTTCTACATACTACATACTCTGATAGTTCTAATATTCAGCATCTTTTGATTAATAGGGAAATACTTCTCTTTTTAAAGTTCAGAGGAGGTGATAGCATGCCCATTTCTCTTTTTAATTTTCCACTGTTCACAGTACAATGGAGAGAATTTGACAGAGATTGACAGTGGCAGCACCCACTGCAATGGCAAAGACCTGTCAAGGGTGGGATCAGAAAAGAGGCCAACATAAAAATATTTGTAATTTTCTGCTTCTAAATGGTACTTCTATGCTGCCGCTGATGAAATCCACCCCTTCTCCCAGCCGTTGGCCCCTTCCATTTGTCCCCAGTGCTATTACCTTAGTATATCTTTCATTCCAAATTTCTAAAGCAAAAGATATGCTTGATGCTTACAACATTTTGCTGAGCCAAACAGAAAAATAGAGAGTGAAGGTTAGAGAAGGAGGAAGAAAAGTGAAACTTTTTGTTCATGCCAACAACAAAACCACTTACTGCTTTCAGCAATATCATTTTCTATTCACAGTCTATGTAGGAATCATGAATTCACTACTGCATTCCCTGGGGTGAAACTCAGCAGTCACAATAGCCAAACAGCTCAAAAAGTTAACTTATGGTGAGCAAAAAGAAAAGAATGCTTATGTCAGCCCAAACTGCCAAAGTAGTGGCACATCAGACTTAGACTCAGTCAGAGAAATCACAGAGTCTGAGACCTGGAAGGAATTTTAGATAACAACTCCAATCCCCACATTTTCAACCCAGGGAAACCAAGGCTGGCAAAAGTTAAATGCTTGGTCCAAAATCACACAGGGTTGGAGCTAGAAATAAAACCCAGGTTTCAAAATCCCACTCTGCTTTTATTCCACTAGAACTAATATGTCCTATTAGGCTCCGTTGCTCAGTCCTTTTATGTTGACACTAAGAAGGATGACTACCATGCCTCCACCTAGAGTTTCTTACTGCACGGTGAGAAACAGACCCTCCTAAGCTAGGCAGGAGATCCCAGTTCATTAACAAGAAGTGAGACTCTATTTCCTATCACCTTGAGATTGCAAGGTATATACTGTCGGTGAGGCACATCAACAGGGCAGGAAGTAGACACAACTGTTAAAAAATATCCCTTGTCCTTCTGAGATTCTGGAAAAATTAGGGATATGATCATAACCCACAACAGGTGCCACAGAAGCTTAGAAAGCTACTACTAGAAAGGAAAAATTGATACATTTTTACATAATTCATGCATTCACGTACCATTTGCCAGGAACTGTGCCATGCACTTTTACATTGTTTTATACTTTTACATTGTTTAAAATTGCCAACATCCTTGAGATGTAGGAATAATTAGTACAGTGAACACAGTAGGTTGCCTACCTTTTCTTTTGTCTTTTTAACAAAGCATTTCTCAGTATCCTTAAAAATTTTCCCACAGTGAAAACTCTAAATCGAAACTTTCTAGAAATAAATAATACAAATATTATAAAAATCTTCCATGAATAGAAAATAAAATGATCCCAATACATTTATGAATCTAGCATAACCTTGATATCAAAGCCTAATATTTACAGAGCTAAAAAAGGAAACTAGAGGCTGTTACAAATAAAGATGCAAAACTCCTGAATGAAATATTAGCAAAACAAATTCAGCAATGTGTAAAAAGACAATAACCTCATGACTTAATAAAATTATCATACGAGAAGATAATTCTAATCTTAAGCAAGGTTGGTTTAAGACTAGAAAACAAATCAATTAATTAACCAATCAATTAACATTAATTAATGAATCTATTAAAAGACATGATTTTTAGTGGGGCAAAGAAATCAGGGAATTCAACATCTATTCTTGATTTATACTTTAAAAAACTTTTAGCAGCCTAGAAATAAAAGAGAATTTCTTTTTTATCTACACACACACACAAAAATCAAAATAATGAAATATTAAAATCTATTCAAAACAAGAAAGGAATGATCTTCAGGTCAAGAACTTGAAGTCCTAGCCAGTGCAGATTAACAAGAAAAAAAATACACAAGAATTTAAAAATAAATAATTATTATTATTGTCAAAAAAAGATATGATTGTGTACCCTGTAATTATAAAAGACTTTATAACAAATTATTAGAATATATCAGAAAATTTTAAGCATATTTGCTGGTTATGAAATTAATATTTTTTTTCCTGGTGCGGTGGCTCACGCCCATAATCCCAGAACTTTGGGAGGCTGAGGTGAGTGGATCACGAGGTCAGGAGTTCAAGACCAGTCTGGCTAAGATGGTGAAACCCCATCTCTACTAAAAATACAAAAATTAGCCAGGCATGGTGGCAGGTGCCTATAATCCCAGCTACTCGGGACGCTAAGGCAAGAGAATCGCTTGAACTCAGGCTGCAGAGGTTGCAGTGAGCCGAGATCGTGCCACTGCACTCCAGCCTGGACGAGTGAGACTCCGTCTCCAAAAAAAAAAAAAAAAAAAAAATTAATATTTTTAAAACCTATGTCATTTCTATGTACTAACCACAAAGAGAAATCAAAATTTTAAGAAAGCTGCTATTTCGGGTACCAACTGTTGGAGAATCACCAAAAATGTGAAGTGCATGGAAACAAATTTAACAAAAGATGTGTTAAGACCATTATGGAGAAAATTATAAAGCTCTATGAAAAAACCCCCACTAAATAAGCTCTAACTATATAAGCAGATACAGTATATTCATGGATTGAAGACAACACTTTAAGGTTGTAAATTCTCACAAAATTGATATACATGTAATGTCCTGTTGATAATATCAGAGCACTTTTTTAAGACATTCAGTAAGCTGAACCTAAACTTTAAAACAAATATCCCAAAGGGCCAAGGAAAGCCAAAAAATCCTTGAGGAAAAATCAGTCAGGAGGACTTTCCCTACCAGCTATCAAGTTTTATCATAAAGCTGTCATAATGAGGACAAGGTACTACTGGTGTTGGATAGACCAATGGAACAGAATTGTGTGTGTTGAAAGACCTACATATATAATGGACATAATAGATATGACAGAAGTGGTATTGCAAATCTGTAAAATGGAATAACTTTTTCCAGAAAATTGTACTGGGGCTGCTATTTACCTAAAAATATGGAGGAATGCAGATTATTTTACATGCTTTCTTATACTAAAAAATGTTTAAAGATAAACTATGAAATAAACCCAAAATCACCCTATAGAAGAGTGACAGAATAGAGTATCAGAAATAGATACTAGACTTCTCTGAATATCCTTTTTTTTTTTAGACTTGGAACTCTATTTTATTTGATTCTAAAACCAAATGAAATTAATTTTAATTCCTAAAAACAAACAAACAAAAACCAGAAACAAACAAACAAACAAACCTAACAGTATCGCTAGTTGGTGACAAAACCACTGGGTAGGGAAGAATTAATTTTACCCAAAGAAAAATCTTGCCTTTGCTCTCAGCTACTGAGAGACGATGTCTAGCCTTCCTGGAATTGATTGCCTAATAGGAACGTCTTCGCCTGGGGGCTTTGGCCACTGGACAGTCTAACAGTGTGATTTGTTATGGAAACTGTGAGCCATGACACATCAGTTCTAACCTTCAGAGCAACTTGAGACTGTAAAAGCTTCAGTCTGTCCTCCAGGAGATGGAGCCACCAGAGTAGTTTATGATCAAGCCCCAATAAAAACTGTGGACACCAAAGGCTCAGGTGAGCTTCCTTGGTTGACAGTATCCTTTGAGTACTGGTCCACATCATAGCAAGGAGGATGTAATGCCATATAGGACATCATGGAGAGGGAATAGCCAGAAACTTTGGACTGGACCTTCCCAGACTTCAACTTATATGTCATTCCCTTTTACTGATTCTGATTTTTATCATTTTATTGTAATAAATCTGTTATCATAAATACAGAGTTTGAGTTCTGTGAGTCATTCTAGTAAATCACTAAACCTGAAGGTGGTCCTCAGAATGTCTGAGTTTGTAGCCAGCTTAACTGAAATGAGGGTGGCCTTGAGAACCCATGAAATTGTGGCCAGTGTTAGAAGTGAGGGCAGTATTGTGGAGACAGTTTCCTCAGACTTTGCAGTTTGGCTAAACATCTATGTAACCACATAGAGCTCAACTATTTTAAACGACTAAAACATAGTAATTATCACTAGGAGATTTTTTAAAATACAAATAAAAAGTTAATCTGTATTTAGTAAATTGTATTGTTGGTTGTAGTATTGGTTTATAAGAACTTCCGAGATATGACCCATTCATTAGCAGTCTTATTTTATGTAGGTATGAGTCTATATCCAAAGCCTTGCCATAATAAACTATGTCAGCCTGGCTATGTTCCAAGAGATAAATTTGTGTATAAAATACACCTCATGACATTTATCCAGATGTTTCAATAACCCAAAAATTTAATGATAATAATAACAATGATAGAAAAAGTTTTTGGAGCATTTGATATGTGCCTGGCGTTACATGCTTTACATACATTATCACATTAAATTCTCACCAAAATCCTATATTATTAATCCACTTAAGATTGTCTTATTACAGTATTACTCATTAATTTCCTTGAGCTGACAGCACTTTATAAAACAGAATAACCAAAATTGGCGCCACAGGTCTCAATGTCAAGCTTCTTAGAAAGGCATTGAATTGTAGCCCTAACACATGCCAAGTATTACTACTGCTCTTCTAAAGGATTTTTTTCTGTACAGTGAAAAATGGGAAAAAATACATAAGCAGACATTAAAAACAGAATAAATGTGGTACATTCTGATAGCAAGGTCTCAGTGTCTCCATCACCCTTTTCTTCTCTTTACCCCAGTCACCCCATATCATGAGAGTGAGAAATGGCTCATCATGTGAGGCCAAACAGCAATTAGCTTCTCAGCATGCTTCTGGAAACAAAGACTTTTGGAAGCAAAGACTTTGTCCCCTTTAAGTATCTTCATTTCTGAAATATCACTTTTTCCTTCAATAATTTTAATTTTGTTTGGTGGATTATTTCAATGTCTTGATCAACAGTGAGGAAAAAAAATGTCAGAAATGGTATAAAATGCATACGAACACAGCTCATCAGGGCTTGAAAACAGTATATAGGATCTTCGGCACTCTAATCTCAACTTTGCCTTAGAGATAACCTAATTTAACATGTGCATTTTACAGATATATACAGATGTTCCTCAACTTATGATGGGGTTATATCCTGATAAACCTACCTTATGTTGGAAATATCACAGATCAAAAATGCATTAAATACATCTAACCTACCAAATATCATAGATTAGCCTAATCTACCTTAAACTTGCTCAGAACACTTACATTAGCTGAAAGTTGGGCAGAATCATCTAACATAAAGCCTATTTTATAATGAAGTATTGACTGTATCATGTAATTTATCAAGTACTGTACTGAAAGTGAAAAACAGAATGGTTGTATGTGTACTCAAAGTACAGTTTTTATTGAATGTATATTGCTTTAACACCATCATAAAGTTGAAAAATTCTAAGTCATACTATCATAAGTCAGGGACTGTCTGTATCAATATACATATGTATATATACCCAGCTGATTCACTCTCCAACTCTTTGGATGACAATTTCTCATTATCTCCTCTCTCTTTAAACCTTAAACATCACTTCTACTTTTCCTTATTCTCAGCTGATTAAGTAGATTCTTACTTCACTGGAAAACAGAAGCAAGGAGAAGATAATATCCCCATATTCCTACCATCAAATGTACTTACCTATCTGAATCTACTCATGTGCTCTGCATAGCCTCCTCTTCTAGTGGGTTAACAGTCTGTGTTCTATTTAATGCTGACCCCTCCACTGAACTAGGTCCCATCCCCTCTCACCTACTTTGGGACTTTGTCCCTGCAATTATTTCCCTCTTTTCTGCATCATCCATTTTTCTCTCTCCTGGATAATGCTCCACACACCAGCTAGAGTAATCTTTTAAAAATATTTATTAGATTACTTTCCTGTTCTCTACCACCTTATGGTTTCTCATACCTAAAATAAGATCCAAAGACCACGCAACCTCCACCCCAGCCCCCTATCACTTTTCTGCCTTCTTTATTCTATTCCTCACACCACAAGCTAATTCTCACCATGGGGCTTTGTTCTTCCTTCAGATCATTTCTTCTGAAATAATTTCACTTCCTTCTTTCATGCAAGCCATTACTCAAAGTGTTACCTCCTCAAAATGAGCTCCCTTGACCCCCTTATATAAAGTAGCATCTGACCATGAGCTTTTACCACCCTACTTAATAATTTTTCACAGCATTTATCATTTTTTGACACTATTTAAACTATGGATTTACTTATTTATTGTCTGCCACTCATGCTAAAATGTCATTTAAGGATAGGAAATTTATATTTTGTTCATTAGTATATGCACAACCTAACACAGTATAAGCACAGAGCAGACACTGAATGAGTATGTGATGTCAGAATGAATTAATAAACATAAAATGTGTACATACAGGGCTTCGTTGTTATCACTTAAGAACAAATTCCATGACATATATATTATATAAACAATTCAAATAGTATATGTAAGCACATACCGAGAGAACATATAAGTTCTTTCCATTAAAATATATTCATTTTCACATTAAAAAATGAGATAAAAAAACTCATGTCTCATTTAATTATTTTAAAAATCTCTCCTACTATGTCAATATTGGGCATTTTGTTTCTATTTGATAAAAAGATTGACGATAAGAAATAAAAATATATAATATTTATAGGTGCCATTTAGTATTGGTTCCTATAGCTTAGATGCAAATTATTTGCTTAAAAGACACATGATTAGTTAATAAAAAATGAAAGCAAAATATTATTCCTCTGTATTGTTCCATTAACTAGTTGTGTGAACTGCTGAGCTAGATGCTATTTGAAGTCCCTTGCAGTTATAACACTCTATGAAACTATGAATTTTTTTACGGCACACACAAATTATCTAAAGTCACTCAGTTATCACTAACAAAAAACATAAATGATAAAATAGTGACCTGTTGATTCTTTATCTGTTCAAGATGCTCAAAATGGACTGGAAAAATCCTACTTATCTTTAGAAAGAAAATAAAAGCTAAGGCTTCATTCCAATAGCCAACCAGCATTGAATTTACAATCAGTTTAGCAAGGGGGTGGAAAATATTGTCAATTTTTCATTACTTCAGAAAATTCTTACGTAAAGCTACATGAGATCATCACATTTCAAGTTCTGTTTGTTTCTTTTCTTGTTCTCTATCTCTGCAGTGATTTGCCTAAGTTTTGGCTGAGAAGCCATGGGATTTCTACATTGCTATACATCTCACACTCCCTCCAACACTACTTTTCCAAATTGATGTATGTCTTGTATATTTAGATCTTTGTCAAAACACGTATTACTCATACCCTCCTGGTCTGGTGATAAAAACTAAAGAAAGGAACTTATCCAGGGATCTAAGCCATGTTTTCCTCTCCTATAATGAACACAAGCTCACTTGTCTGTCAGGAAAACCAGCACCCTTCAGCCTTAATATTGACTTGAACCTCAGTCAGATCAAGTCCAACCAAAGAGTGCCAGAATCACATATTCACATGCTTCTGCAAGCACCAGGTCAAATATTACTTTATTTATAGAGTTTTCTCCATAAACTTCAAGGACAAAGAAGGAAGGGTTAGAGGCATAAAATAAAGTGGTCTTCCAAAAGTAGAAGTTTCTTTGAAGACTTATAATTTACTTTAAAACTGAATTTGAATTTACATTCTATAATATAACTGTTATGTTAACATTTAATGTTTTAATTATCATAAATAAAAACAATTGCTAATTTTCCTTACAGTTGATGGTAAAATTATGTATTGAGTCTATCAGTTTAGGATAGCTGGGCTGAGATGAAGCAAGCTGGTTTAGTATCTAAGCACTGCTTCTTTTTTGACTTAACATCACACTGCTTTGAGATCCTAGACTCACATAAACGTGTGAATACAAATGGCAAAACTCTTTTTAATGCTTTTTGAGTTATTTCAGGAAAAATCACTGCAATGTTATGACCAGAATGCTGCCAAAGAGGTGGCAGAGTGCTTGATACTCATAGAGGGAATTTAAATAGTGGTATCTTACTACAAGGTAAGTTCCTGTGTGTCTTATTATAAAATTGAAATTTCTGTGGTACATTCTGTTCTATCTCAAAGAAATATTTATCAAAGCCTTTTTCAGTAAATAAAAATTCTTTTAATTATGTTCTGTAATTGATGCAGATTCTTAAATTTTTCTTAGTTGTAAATGAATTAAGTCACATGAAACTCATAGTCCCTACATCAATTTTCTTCATTCAACTTTCAAATTTCAGTTTCAGTTCAACTATGTCAAGTAATGTAAAACCATTTAGAGTTCTACCATATTGATATGGATTGAAAGAGTCAGCTAAATAAGTAAATGTGGTCAGCCACTTTTTACCATAAGGCTGAGAAATGTATTCATTCTCTTCAGGGTTTTTACCATGTACTATGTATGATGCCTTATTTTCTCCAATTTAAAACACACACAGGCACATCAAATCAAGTCACCTTCTGCACTTTGTCCATGCTAAGTCTATGTAATAATGATTATAATGATACCTGACATTTATATTTACTATGAGACAGGATATGTAATTGCTTTATATACATTGTCTATTTAATTCAATTCTTTAAGTAACCTTATTAGTAGGTATAATGATTACCTGCATTTTACATACGAAAAATCCAATATTTAATGGTAGAAACAGGATTCTAACTCAAGCCCTCCAGAGTTTAAACTGTAACCATCATATTATACTGCATCCATCTATTTAGAAAAAAGAAACTTTCAATGTCACTTCCCATTTCATTTATAAATTTGCTGGGCTAAAAATGATGACTGTGTGAATGTTTCAAGCCTTTCATTTTTCTCCTTTCTCTGTTTGTTGGATGGATTTCTAGCTTTGCTTTATTTAGTTTTTTTTTTTTTTTTTTTGCTGTCTCCTGCCCTTAAAGGAGTCCTTTCCTCCCTAATCATTTCTTAGACCTTTGTGAATTGGAGGAAAGTAATGGTGAGAAAATAAGACAGCAAGTGTTTCACAGGTCTGAGGTATAGAAGGGGTTTTCTGAAAATTTTGAGAGGAGAAGAAAAGGAGTAACTATGGCCTATAGGGATAGTTACGAGAAAGAAACAAAAACTGCTATGCTATTATACCACTCTTCATTTTGTCCAATAAACAAGAAATATTATTTTAAAATTATTTTTGGTTGCTGGGGCCATGTTCTTTGGACCAGAGTAGGACTGGGATCCAATTGTGAAGGTTGAAATTTTGTAAGCAATTTATTTGATTAATTTTAATTAACAAATAATAATTACATATTCATGGAGTACATTGTTACATTTTGATACATACAATGTACAGTGATCAGACCAGGGTAACTGGAATATCCATCATCTCAAGCATTTGTCATTTCTTGGTGTTGGGAATGTTCAATATCCTCCTATTCAATTATAGCTAAATGAAACTATACGTTAGTGTTAACTATAGTCATCCTACAGTGGTATAGAACATTAGAACTTATTCTTCCTATTTAGCTATAATTTTATATTTTTTAAACAAATCCATAACAAATTTTCTAAAATGAAATTTTTTCAAACCATTGTGTTAAATAAATATTGCCTTTTAGCACCTTGCTGTATACATCAAAAAAATCAAGAGGTCAACTTTTGGAGCTTGGTGTTCTGCTTGAAACTGTGGTGGCTGCTGTCAGGGAGAGGGCAGCATGACCTTCACAGCAGCTTTTCATATCCTGGGTTTTTCCCCATCTGGGCTCAGTTGCATGCACATCTTTTCCCAGTCAACATCATGATTTTGAAATTACTTATTGGCAGAACACTTCTTTGCCACTTATTGCAACACTAAATATTCATCAAATTAGCATGGCTTCATATATGCCATCAATACAAATGTAAAGCATAAGGATTAATATGAATACATGTTTTCATGCCACATATTAAAGAACTAGGTTAACTTCAATTTTTCAAATAGTTGTTCATGAATACATTTAAGACCACAATAAATGCATCATTTGAACATTCAGTAACAGCAACTCTTTGAGTCTATTTCTTCTTTGGACAGATTTGACCAGATATACATCATTGAATTTTTCTTTGTTATTTGAGAATCACTTTCCATGGTAATTCTGAAATTGACCTTGAAGGAGGCTGTGATAATTTCTGTTGTTGTTTTTTACTGTGGAAGTAACTGCAGTAGATGCTGTGTGTGCCCTCCCTTCCCCACTTTCTGGCCATTCTTCTTTGTACACTGAAGGCTGCTTACTGGAAACACCTCCAAGTCTCTGCCTGAGATCTTCTTCCTGGATGTAGGAGCACACTCACTGAGGGACCAGGATGAGCTACAAGTCTCAAACAGTAAGAGCTCATAGACATAGTTTCAAATATGACAGATGGAAGCAGTGGTTAAATACCCTAGTTTTCCTGGCCCCTCTGTCATGCTGACTCTGAGGTGTGCTCCATACTGTATCCCAGAATTCCCAGAGGACTTGCACCTCAGTTTTCCACATTCCATATACCTTAATAATACACTCTTTCCCCTTATTGTTTCACTACATTTTCTTGACTCATTTGCCTACTCTCCAGTAACGTCTTCCAAAATCACTTCCCAGTTAAACTACTTGCACTCAAAACCTTGTCCTGTGGTTGACTTCCAGAAGAAGCTAAATTGAGAAACTATTTTTACTTATATTTTTATAAACCAAAATTAGAGTGGTTGATTGCAATTGCAGAAAGAAGATGAACATATTTATAGGCACCAATGATGTTTTATATAATCAAAATATTTTTAAATGTTGCCTTGTAATGAGATTAATTTTCTTTAATCAAGGAATACATATATATAAATAAATAAGTATATATATATGTATATATATGCATATGCATATAACTGTTTGGACCCCTGCAGGCCTGGTGAAAAATTCACACATTTATATGGCAATATTTGTTATTTTGAAGATAAGCCTTAATGGCATTGGCTAATCACATCGGCATAATGATTTTACCATAGTGCTTCAACGTGTTAACCTGTTCATGATAATTCTGCAGTGTTTGATAGCACTGCACAACTCCATACCACAGAACTAAATTTTAATTAACTGCAGAAATCCTTTCTTCACTGAGTTGCTACCTTTGCTTTCGCATGCATGCAATAAAACTTTCTGAAGAGTTTAGAAAATCAGAACACCTACCTATGATCTCTAGTAAAACTCTAAAACCTCTAGTAAAAACTCTAAAACTCGAAAAATCTCTAGTAAAAGTCTAAGGAAAATGCATCTTTTTGACTGTGACATCTAGTATTCCCGGAACATTTCTGGGGGTGTGCACACAGCAGCTTGAGAAGTACTGACAGGATGATCCACAGCTCCCCTCAGAAGAGTGCTCATCTGTATCCCCCAAACCTTCAAAAAGCCAAAGGTTCTAAGAGTCTTGCATGGGTAGCCGGACAGTGTATTTATCATTTTGTTTGTCTTGCAGGTACATTTCTTTCTTTTGTTTGCATGGAAAAATAGAAGACATCACCATAAGCAGTGTCAGTTGAAAATAAAATTAGGAAGGACCTCCTTATTAATCTTCCCCACTCCTCATCAACTCTTCCGCTCTTTCCTAGGTTTACCCTTCCCTGTATTGAGCTCTATGGAAGATGTTATTGTTAAGATGATCAACAGAAGCATTCACAACCGATAAATCCTCCCCAAGAAGCCCAGTCCATATGTGAGAGCACATGTTGAGCTCAAGACTTCATACGTAGAGGCTTGACAGTTAAGGATAACTGTGGTAGGGGCTGGGCATGGTGGCTCATGCTTATAATCCCAGTGCTTTGAGGGGCTGAGGCTGGAAGATTGCTTAAGCCCAGGAGTTCAAGACCAGTCTGGGCAACAGAGCAAGACCCTGTCTTCACAAAAACTTAAAAAATTAGCTGAAATTAGTACATGCCTAATTTATACTAAAATTTATGCCTAATTTGTACTAAAAATTAGTACATGCCTGTAATCCCAACTACTCAGGAGGCTGAGGCAGGAGGATGGACTGAACCTAGAAGTTTGAAGCTGCAGTGAGCCATGACTGCACTCCAGCCCAGGTTACAGTGCAAGACGCTGTCTCTGGGAAAAAAAAAAAATAGGAGGCAGAAACTTCAAGAAATTGGTAAACTGACAAAAATCCACTGAAAGTGGTTATAGAGAATATTCCAATAGATGTATATGTGTTCAGTGTTTTTTATTAAATCTTAAATCCTGCTGATTTCTAATAAACAAGCTGATTGGACTTGTAAAAAGCTTTGATCATGAAATAAATTGCAGTTTTATTATGAAGAAACAGAACAATTCAAATTAGGATGATAAATGTTATTTAAAATAGAATCTTAGAGAACCACAGTAATGCACAGATGAGAATTATTTGCAATTAGGATATTGTTTATTTGTATACAAAAACACTTCAGGACACTTAGAAATTGCTCCTTCTCCCCTTGAAATCCATCTAATATGTTTACACTGTTAATTACATTTCTTATGGGGGAAAAAGGATTTGGAGTATTTCCTTGTTTTGTTTGTTTGTTAAATAAAATTTTGCCTTCCTCCTTCCTTCCCCTTTTCATGGCCTCTGAAATAATAAGACTTACTAAACTGAGAATTAGAGAGCCCTTGTTATGGGTTGAATTATATTCCCCCTGCCCCCATTTGTATGTTGAAGTTCTAACATCTAGTACCTCAGAATATGACCTGATTTGGAGATAGGACATTTACCGAATAATCACATTAAAATGAGCTCATTAGGTGAGCCCTCATCCGTAATGACTGGTGCCCCAATAAAAAGGAGAAATCTGGGGACAGACATGCACCAAAGAAGAACTCCATGTGAAATCCAGAGCAGAGATGGGGTGATATGTCTACAAGTCAACGAACAGCAGAGTGTCAGCAAACCACCAGAAGCCAAGAAGGCATGGAACAGATTCTTCCTCACAGCCCTCAAAAGGAACCAACCTTGATGACACCTTGATCTCAGACTTCTTGCCTTTAGAACTGTGAGACAATAAATTTCTGTTATTAAACCACCCAGTTTGTGGTACTTCATTACCGCAGCCCTAGCAAACTAATACAGCTCCCAAATGGGTTCTCCTTCCTATCTCCTTAGAGTAGTGAACTTGGGGAAATAAGTACTAGATTAGGCATCTAGAGTTCTGTGTTCTGAATCCAGTTTCATCAGAGACTAACTACAAAAACTTGGATGTATCACCTGATTATTCCAGGTCTCAGTTTCTTTGTCTGAAAGATAATGGTACCATCCAACTAAAAAATTCTGAAGTGCAAAAACTGGCACAGATTTCTTTCAAGAGAGCATTAGTAGGCTCAATTGTGTTTTATCTGTTATACAGAAATACAAGCTTACAAAACAAAGAATTCATGAATGAATGCACATATTGCAAGCTAGTTTCTTTATATTAAAGCTAAATTCAAAACAATTTTTTTACTGATGAAGATTCTAAGTATAATGTTATTTATTAAAATTTAATTTACATGTATCTTTTCCAAGTATCTGTTACAGGGAGTGAAATATGCTTATGGTAGTAAAATTTATTCCCATTACTTTAAAGTCAATACTTGTGCTATAGAACTAGTAATAATGTATTTATTCCCAAAGAATTTCCTATTAAATTCTTTGTCCATGGTTTCCCAGATGAATGGTGCTGGGTAATTTTAGGAAAAAAAAAAGTGACAGGGGAAATGGTTTCCCTGAAAAAGTTTCCCCATGTCCAGTCATCTTTAGCATATATGCCAATTTAATTCTTGTTTTAGTCTAAAAATAATTATAATCTAAGCTCAAGGGCATTGAGTCAGTACTGACCCAGATATTCTGGGCCATCTTCAAGATGGCTGGAAGTGGGCCACGACCTTTAACTGCTCTAGAGGTTAAATGATTAACAGAAGGATATCTAACTTACTGTAATGAAGCTGTCACTGAAATGACCAGAAGGAGGAAATTTCTCATCTCCAGTCTTACAGCATCATTTTCTAAGTAGGCATACCTATATGTGGAATGGAGGGACTCATTATTTTCTTTACAAGCTTGAAAACCAGCCTCCACTTTCAAGAAGCAGAAACTTCACTCGGTGTGTGGAACTTTCTTTCCTTTTGAAAACTCAGGTCTCTCCTTCAAGAAATAATAACAGACATCTTCTTATGTATGTAATTATCTGATTAAAGTGAACTGGAACCACTTTTTGTCATAACTGCACATTAATTATAACTTCTTTCAAAGAAAAAAAATCTAAAAATTTAGCTGAGTAAAACTATGAAATGGCTTCTAAATGTGGAGGCAAATAAAGTCTTGCCTGCTTTCAAGTTGTAAGTGACTTGTGGGCTAAGGGCTGAATGTATTTAGTTCAGGTAACCACTTCAGCTTGACTGATACAGTTGTTGTTTCAGTGCTTGGCCAAATAGCCTTTTATGTTGCAATCAAGTAATAGATACGAGATTGACAAGTAACAAAGAAAAAGAGCTTTCAGTCAACATGGACTAAAATCCATTATTGTGGTGTGTACACTGTTCAGGGGACCTGTAAACACATCTTCATTGATCCCACAGAAAGATAGAAATATCTCCCCTTGTATGGCTCAATCAAGGCCTGTTTCACAAAGGTAAAGTGCAAACAATATTGAAAAAGCAGAAAGAGACTGACAGTATAGTCAAACAGTAAATAATGGTTGGGCTCAGGAAACCTATCTATAACATTTCAAATTCCTGTCAGCTCAAATGAAATGTATAACCTCTCTATTGCAAACTCAGAAAGATCAGAACATGGGGGACTGTACATTCCCCTTATTGTCATCCCCCTTTTACCAACTGACCAAATCAATAAGAAAAAAAAATCTCATTTTACAGTTTTGCATTTTCATGGGTATCTCAGTGGATAAGACTCTGAAAAAGATCTCATCTGTGAAGGTCAATAATTCATTCCTCCCTACCCCCAGCCCCCACATTTAGGATCTGCTGCCATTTATGTGAATGAATTTTGTTAATTATAAAATAGAAAAAAAATTATCATGCTGTGTGAGTAGAACTGGGTTTTCCTGCCAATTTGAAATTTTATTAGAAATGCCTACTACATCAATTCCAAACTTCCACTTTCATTTATGTTTAAATACTTGTAATTAGGAGAAGCTATTTGGGAGCTGCAGACACCAATAAATAGTTTGTATGGCTTTCTAAAAAGGTTGGCAGGATGGTCTGAAGCTCAGCAGAGTTTATAAACAGATTCATCTGTTATGTAAATCTCCATCCATAATAATTATTTATCCATTATGGCTAATCAGCATTCCAAGAAGAGGAAAAGTGGAAACAATCAGTAATGTCTTAAAAAAATGCTCTTATTCTTAAAAAAATGCTCTTATACCTGAAGATTCCTTAAATTTAGCCATCAATTGACTAGACATATAATCATTTGTTCCTCTTTTTAAAAAATCTCTGAAAGAAATCAGTACTGCACATTTAAAACAATGTTCTTATATAGATACAGAAGAGTCAAATAAGAAACAAATTGGATCACCCTTTTATACCACTAACTATCCTGCATCCCTCTTTTCCTCCTTTCCTTCCAAAACATAAGATTCCAAAGAAAACAAAGACTCATTTAGCTCAGAATGAGTATTGGTTATGTCTACATGCAGAAAGCAGACCTGACAGGATATGTTCTATGCCTGTGATTCTTGTGTAGGGAGTGTTAATGAGGTGCTAACACAGCTCATGGCATAGTCTTTTGATGTTGGTTTATAATCTGTGTCCCAAGTAAATATTCAGCATACGGCATGCACAATTCTATCTTCAGGACCCCAGGAAGAAGCTTATTAGAAGAAACTAAACCCAGTCAGGAGTAAACTGAATCCTCACGCCCATGCTCCACACCCTATCCCACATTGCAGGGAAGGTTTGAGGAGCTGATGTTCCTTTAATAAACAAGATGATTATTGATCTCCTATTATGTGTTAAACTCCATGCCACCTGTGGTTAGCCTGTGTTGGAAAACACCAGCAAGTACCACTTGCACAAATTAAAGTTCCTTTCTGGAATATGGAATAAATAATTTTCTTCCAAGCCTTGAAAGAATAAAAAGGAATATGCACATTCCAAAATTTACATACACTCAGCTGAAATTTGTGATAAAATTGTAAAATAAATATTGTATTTATTACATATAACATATTTATTATATATTTTCTTCTTATTCCCTGAGTTTTGTTTTCTTTCTTTTTGAGAACTCAGGTCTTTCCTTCAAGTAATAACTGATCTCTCTCTCTCTGTGTATGTGTGTGTGTGTGTGAGTGTGTATATACATATATATATATATATATATATATATATATATATATATATAATTATTTTATCAAAGTAAGACTGGAATCCCTGAATTCATTTCCTTGACTTCATTTTCTGCTAGATAAACACTTTCCCAGCCTCTATTTTCTGCAACTATTTGACTCTAACTTTAAAAATATAACTATCCTCCAAGTCCCAGTGAAAAATGCATTCTCTCCATAGTCTCTTTCCTAATTCTTCATCCAGAAATGCTCTCTTCTTCATTGGATGACCCATCACAACCTATACATACCATACCTGTCACTGAACAACTGTATTTTGGCCCATGACTCATCTTCTCTACATAAAAGGAGCTTTGTTTTATATTTTTTTTTTGTATGCCTATACCCATAGCACTTAATAAGCTACCTTAAACATAGTAGTCATACAGAAACACCTACTGATATGATCTGGATCTGTGTCCTCACCCAAATCTCATGTTCAATTTTAATCCTCACTGTTGGAGGTAGGGCCTGGTGAGAGGAGATTGAATCACAGGGTGGTTTCTCATGGTTTAACACAAACCCCCTTGGTGCTGTCATCACGACAGTGAGTTCTCACAAGATCTGGTTGTTAAAATGTGTGTGGCACCTCCCCCAGCTCTCTCATATAAGAGAGAGCTGCCCCATCTTCCCCATTTCTGCCATATAAGATGCCTGATTCCACTTTGCCTTTTGCCCTAGGTAAAAACTCCCTAAGGATTTCCCAGAAGCAGAAGGCACCATGTTTCCTGCACAGCCTGTGGAACCATGAGCCAATTAAACCTCCTTTCTTATAAATGACCCAGTCTCAGGTATTTCTTTATAGCAATAAAAGAACAGCCTCATACAGAAATTTGGTACCAAGTAGTGGGGCACCAGAAGTGGGGTATTGCTATAAAGATACCTGAAAATGCGAAGTGGCTTTGGAACTGCATAATGGACGGAGATTGGAAGAGTTTGAAGGGCTCAGAATAAGACAGAAAGATGAGGAAA
The DNA here is from genome assembly GCF_000001405.40 of Homo sapiens. Lineage (NCBI taxonomy): Eukaryota > Metazoa > Chordata > Mammalia > Primates > Hominidae > Homo > Homo sapiens. The sequence goes on from NC_000015.10 coordinate 37,712,681, forward strand.
AATTTTGAACTTCCTAGAGACTTGTTGAATGATTGCAACCCACATTTTGATACTGATAGGGACAGGGAAGTCAAGGCTGATGAGGTCTCAGATGAAAATAAGAAACTTTTGGGGAACTGGAGCAAAGGGCACTTTTGTTATGCCCTAGCAAAGAGCCAGGCTGCATTTTACTCCTGCTCTAGGGATCTGTGGAACTTTGAACTTGAGAGATGATTTAGGGTATCTGGCAGAAGAAATTCCTAAGCAGCAAAGTGTTCAAGATGTTGCCTGGCTGTTTCTAACAGCCTATTCTCATATGCATGAGCAAAGAAAATATCTGAAATGGGAACTTATATTTAAAAGAAAAGCAGAGCATAAAAGTTTGGAAAATTTGCAGCCTAGCCATGTGATAGAAAAGAAAAGCCCATTTGCAGTGGAGAAATTCAAACCAGCTATAGAAATTTGCATAAGTAAAAAGGAGCGAAGTGCTAATAGCCAAGACAGTGAAGAAAAAGCCTTACAGTTATCTCGAAATCTTTGTGGCAGTCCCTCCCATCACAGGCCTGGAGGCCTGGGAGGGAAGAACGGTTTCATGGGCCAGGCCCAGGGCCCCACTGCCCTGCACAGCCTCACAATGCCACTCTCTACATCCTGGCCACTCCAGCTCTAGCAATGGCTCAAAGGGGTCCAGGTACAGTTCTGGCTGCTGCTTCAGAGGCTGCAGGCTAGAGAAGTCTTAGTGGCTTCCACATCATATTAAGCTTGCAGATCCACAGAATGCAGGTACTGAGGCTTGGGAGCCTCCCCTGAAATTTCAGAAGATATACAGGAAAACCTGAATGTCCAGGCAGAAGCCTGCTGCAGAAACAGAGCCCTCACAGAGAACCTCTGCTAGGGAAGTGTGTAGGGGAAATTTGAGGTTGAAGCCCTCACACAGAGTCCCCACTAGGGCACTGCCTAGTGGAGCTGTGAGAAGAGGTCCAACAGACTCCAGAACCTAGAATGGTAGATCCACCAGTAGCTCACACCCTCCGCATGGAAAAGCTGCAGGCACTCAATGCCAGCCCTTGAGAGAAGCTGCAGGGGCTGAACCCTGCAAAGCCACAGGGGAAAAGCTACCCAAGGCCTTGGGAGCCTACCCTTCACACCAGTGTGCCCTGGATGTGAGACACAGAGTCAAAGGAGATTATTTTAGAGCTTTAAGATTTAATGACTGCCCTGCTGGGCTTCAGACTTGTGTGGGGCCTGTAGTCCCTTTCTTTTGACTGATTTATCTCTTTGGGAATGGGAGTACTTATTCCATGCCTATATTCCCATTGTATCTTGGAAATAACTAACTTTTTATTTTTTGATTTTACAGGTTCATAGGCAGAAGGGACTTGCCTTGTCTCAGGTGAGACTTGGGACTCTAGACTTTTTAGTTAATGCTGGAATGAGTTAAGGCTTTGGGGGACTGTTGGAAATGGGTGACTGTATTTTGAATGTGAAAAAAAATGACATTTGTGGGACCAATGTCCCACAATGGTGGAATAATATGGTTTGGATCTGTGTCCTCACCCAAATCTTATGTTCAACTCTAATCCTCAATATTGGAGGTGGGGCCTGGTTGGAGGTGATTGGATCATGGGGGCGGTTTCTCATGATTTAATACAATTGCCCTTGGTGCTGTCATCACCATAGTGAGTTCTAATGAGATCTGATTGTTAATAAGTGTGTGGCACCTCCTCCCACCTTGGTCCTGTTCCGGCCATGTAAGATGCCTGCTCCTGCTTTGACTTCCACCATAAGTAAAAGCTCCCTGAGGCCGCCCCAGAAGTAGATGCTTCCATGCTTTCTCTACAGCTTGTGGAACCATAAGCCAATTAAACTTCTTTTCTTTATAAATTACCCAGTCTCAGGTATTTCTTTATAGCAATGCAAGAACGGCCTAACACACCAACAGAACTGAATCATGCATGTATAAATTAAATGCTAGACCAAAATAAAGAACTCCTCAATTTTAATTAAAGCTCCAAAGGGTTAGCTAAGAAAGAAGGGGATTTTTCTTAAAGGTTACATCAAAAATAGTAGTTCTACAAATAGAAAATAATTTCAAAATCACCCTGATTTGTTCTCAGGCTTTCTAGCCAAATTTTAATTCTGAATGCTCTAATTCGGAAAGAAACTAAGTTGAACTCTGAAGCTTAAAATTATCCAATGTCAATCACTTGTGATGGGTTTTATCACGGATAAAATATAAATAACTCTTTATTGGAATAATATTTATTGCTTATACCTGTGTTTGTCTCATGGTTGAGAATCCAGCTCCATTAAAACTGGTCCTGGAGAATGAGATTAGTTTAATTTCCAAGTGGGCTAAATGTTCTTTATATCAAAGAGAGTAGGAATCCAGTAGCCAGAGACTGTTCGAAGTCCCCATATATAAATCCTATTGTGTCACTTTTCTCCTCCCTGCATCCTAAATGAATCTCTTGACCAAATACTCTCTCATTTTTCTCTTACATTCCAACTCATGAGCCTTGAACAGCATTCCAGGTCTGAAACACCAAGCTACTTGCTTCCCCTCAATTTAAAACTATTTTAAAGTCCATGTTTAAGAAGCTTATTTCAATGAACTAGGCCCAACCACTAAAGATGATTTATGGCACCTATTTCCTGGACTAGTAATACTTAAGATCTAAGAATAAAAAGGATATAAAGAGGTAATAGGTTGGCTCACTCTTTCCAGTACATAGTAAAGCAGAGCAGGGACAAGCACTGCTCTGTCATTCCGAGGACAGGGTATTTTGGTGTCATCCTGATGTTTCACTTAGAGATTTAGCTTCTCAGAGCAATGTTAAATTAATAAAGACCAAATTCAAAGAATAATGGCTTAGACATTTTTTTTGGCTTCTTCAGGTTTTTTCTTTTCCTTCTCAAACCTCCGTGCCTTAGTCATGCAGAGAAACAACCGAAAATAATATAAAACTTTGGCATTCATGTATTCTGCATTCAAGGTTTCAGAACAACCCCAAAGACCCATGACATGTAGAAATGTATAACTTTGCTAGAGTAGAGTGTAGGAATGAACCTTTGACTAGTGAGTAGGTCTTCCAGTCCTCTCAGCAGCTTCCATCTTCTTTATATAGCTTGTTGTCTACTCTTGTTATTCTGTAAGAATTTATGGAACATATTTTATCCTATGTTCCTGAGTGTGAATTTGAGAAATTAATCTATTACAAATTAGGTGTTCATTTCTTATTTGCATGTATAACAAATACTGAAATCTGCTATAATTTATCATCTGAGTGGAGATGACTGGTAGCCCTAAGCACCAGGATGACATATGTTTTAGTTTCCCTTATTTTCTTGGGATAGAATGTCATGAGCAACACTCTCCATCTTTTCTCCTATCTACTTCTGTGTCCGCAAACATCCTCTTAGGCACAACATCCCAGCTGTAAGCCCATTCCAGACAGTTGAAGCCTTACCTCTTCTCAGTTCCTACCAGCTTATTTTCCCTACAGTTAGTAGCTACTTCCAGTATTTCTCATACTATATTAACTTAATGATCTGTCTCTTGAAAACTTTTGGAATGACAGTATAGACTTTCAGCTTCTAAACAAAATGGAGTAACACAGAGTAACAGGGACCGGATTTACCCTCTCACCCGAAAAACAATACTAGTAAACAAAATACATGAAACAACGATTTTCACACGTTGGACATCGGGCAGCACAGGACAAAGAAGCAAATAAATAAAGAGCATTAAGATTTCCCATGTTTATTACTTGGAATAAATTTCTAGGCCAAGGCAGTGAGTGAGAAACCTGAACCACATAAAACCTCATGTATTGAGGAGACAGAGCTGAGAGTGTAGGAAGTCCAACGTAGCTGGAGTAATCACGGCAGAGTACCAGGGAGACAAAAGCTGCACAGAGAGCGTTTCAAATGTGCATAAGGTTTCCCTCAAGTCTTCAGCTGTGTACTGACTAGTGCATGATATGAAGGAACTAATTAACCAAGACTAGAAGAAGATCACCCAAAAAGAAACTGAGGGAGCAATCCCCAGAGCTCACACACAAGGCTACTGACTCAGTAGTAGGACAAAAGTAGCTATAGATTAAAGGCTGTTCTGGTTAGGCCTTGAAAAGCTTGACAGCAAGCCTCAAAAAAATTTATTTTTAGTAATTTAACTGCAATAACAAAGCTTATAACTATTTCTAGATATATAAAAATGTCTAGGGCCCAACAATGTAAAACTTACAATATCTGGCATTCAGTCAAAGTTTACCAGGCAAGCAAAGAAACAAGAAAACATAACCCATAATCAGCTCATCAAAATCTGTCCAGAAGTGTCTCAGATGTCAAAATTAGTAGACAATGACATTAAAAGGGTTTTTATAACTCATTTCATATTTTTAGAAAGGTATAGAAAAGGATGAACACTTAAAGGAGACACATAGAAGAGCAAAATCAAACTTTTGGAGATGAAAATAATATCTGAAATTCGAAGCAAAAAATATAGTGAAAGGAATCAACAATAGTTTAGACAACGCAGAAGAAAACAATTTAGTAAACTTAATGTATCAGAGTAAAAACTATGTAAAAGAACACACAGAGAAAAAAAATAGAACTGAAAACAAATTGAAGAGAGCATGAGTGAGCTATGGAACAATGTGGAGAATCCTAACATACATGTAATTTTAATCACTGAAGGAAATGCCAGGAAGTTGTTCTTCCTGTTTGAAGAAAGAATGACCAAAATCTTTTTCTAGCCGGTTTTAAGATTTTTTTCTTTATCACAGATTTTAATAAATTTGATTATATCAAAACTCACACTAAATACAAGTCAAGGTCTGAGGACAAATGTCTAGAGCAGTCGAGAGAGTGACATAATGTTGAGCTCTCCAAGACCACATAGGGCATATCAAATTTCAGAATGGCCAGCCCCTGGCCAGAGCAAGAATCGCCTTCCTTACTCTAGCCCTTCCATTAGGAACTTCCAGCACTACTCCAGCATCCTTGGGTATGGTTGTAATAAAACATTATTGTTAAGGAGGTTTAATCCCAGTGTTGCATACATTCTGAATAAGCTGAAGTCTTGAAGGACATTTAAGAACGCTTGAGTGTTTTCTTTTCCATCTTTCTGTTTTTAGTTTTTTAATTTTACTTTAAGTTCTGGGATACATGTGCAGAATGTGCAGGTTTGTTACCTAGGTATACATGTGCCATGGTGGTTTGCTGCAACTGTCAACACATCATCTAGGTTTTAAGCCCCGCATGCATTAGCTATTTGTTCTAATGCTCTCCCCCTCCCCTTCCACCCCACCCCCTAACAGGCCCCAGTGTGTGTTGTTCCTCCCTGTGTCCATGTGTTCTCATTATTCAACTCCCACTTATGAGTGAGAACATGAGGTGTTTGGTTTTCTGTTCCTGTGTTAGTATGCCGAGAATGATGGCTTTCAGCTTCATCCATGCCCTGCAAAAGACATGATCTCATCTCATTCTTTTTTTTTTTAGACTTGAGTCTTTATTTTCTAAATTCTTCCAGGTAAACTAGGTTTGCATACTGCTTAAATTAGTACATTAAATACATTTAAAATGATGTTCCAATAAGGTCCAATGTTGTAAAATTATCAGAATTACAATCAAGAGGCAAATATATCAGTGAATTTTAAAACATCAAGATTAGCATTAGTGTATGACTTGGTTGGGGGAAATCTGCTTAAATGCCAATACCTGAGTGTATTTAGACTAACAGGTGAATACATTTAGGTGCACTCCAGCCACAGCGTCCTCCTCATCATTCCTGAAGCATCTCATGCATGCTCCTACGCAAGTACCTTGCATGTGCCACCGTCTCTGCCTGGGTCATTTGTTCCCTTACTTCATTCACGTGAGACTCACTTCACTCTTCATTTTAAGAGAAAACCCTTCAAATGTCATGTCTCTTCCCAACCACCAAATAGTACCCTAATGTCACTCTATGTGCACTTACCAAGTTCTATGCATGTTCCTTGCACTTATTTGTACCTGACATTATGTCATATATGCAGTTGTTTGTTACTCTAGAGCAGGGATTACTAAACTAAGGCCCACAAGCCAAATCCAGAATTATGCAACAGAGACTGCATGTGGCTTTTGAAGGCTAAGATATTTATTGTCTGATCCTTTCAGAAAGTGTTTGCCAATCCCTACACTAGAGTATGAATTCCACAGAGCAGGTATTTGTCTGCTTTGTTTCCTGTAGTAGACTGAATTATTTCTGCCCAAAATCTATATGTTGAAGTCTTAACCACACTATAGCTCAGAATGTGACTGTATTTGATCGGATCTTCAAAGAGTTAAGATAAAGTCATAGGATTGGCCCTAATCCAATATGGTGTTCGTATAAGAAGAGAAAATTTGGACACAAACACACACAGAAGGAAGACCATGTGAAGACACAGGGAGAAGACAATCATCTATAGGCCAGAGTGAGGTCTCAGAGGAAACCAACACTGCACAAAGGAAACACACATCCTTTATTTTTGAATCGATAAATTTAGTTAAAATTAGGAATCATTTTTTCTCCAAAATAACATGATTTTTCAACTGAATTTAACCATTTTTTTCCCACGGAAAATCATTTTAGAATGGTAGACAATGCCTGCTTTATAAAGCAGGTGAGTTCTTATGACTCCTGAATTATTGTTGGTAGACTGCTTTAGAGGAAACACATTTTATTTCAATTCATCATTATCACATTACTCTAAAATACATATGAGCTGCCAATTTACAAAAATAACTAATTTTTTCTCACTTTCTAGTAAAGATGGGGAAAAAAGCTATTAAGAGATAAGAATCTAAGTCTGTTTACATTCCATGGATTTAAATAAGTTGAAATAGATTCAAGTATAATTATAGCACATAATATTTCTATAATATCAGAACATAATTTTATGACAAGAGTACACAGCAAACTATAGTTTTGTGCATTGTATTCTAGTACCAACATTACTCCTGAAGTTCACAAAATTCCCAGGCTCATCAATAACCACAAAACTCTATGTGTGAGCTCCAAGCAGTGTCAGTTTGTTCTTGTAATCGCTACACAGCTAGAGAAATGCATAGTGAAAAGATCAGAGCTTCAAAACTAATCTGATGAATAGTTATGGAAACAATAATATGAAAGTATTTTTAAAAGAGCATTTAAAATTGTTTTAATTAAAAAAAATGTGCTGCAAAGCACACAAGTAGGGAAAACTTACTCATTAAAGCTCAACTTAGTTAAAAGGAAGAGATGATTCAATTCTAAAATTGAGCCATTTGGGGTACCCAAAAGTGAAAGCACCATTCAACTGTGGCTTTTAATCAATCTCTGCTCCTCTTAAACTCTATAGAAGTATTTAAGAACCTAACACTTCAAACACTCACAATAATCCAGCTAGACTGGATTTTTCAAGGGCAAGCACTGTGGCTTTTGTTTTCCTGTCTAGTATTTATCTTACTACCGTCTCCTCAAGCACAGAGCTGGGCACCAAGTATACATTCAGTAGATGGATGTCAGTTGCTCACGTTACTCTCTAACCTCAGGGAGACCTCTAGCATCTTTCTCTCTGCAACTATCAGCCATCTCCTGCCTTTACTTCTCTCTCTTTAAACTTTGGGCCCACGGTCTACTGCTTTGGCGACTCCCTTGCCATCTTCCTCAAATCTTCTGCCTCACTGATGGTCGTTCCACTTGCCTAAAAAAGCTCCAAACCTGAGTCAGTTGAAACATCGCCACCCTGGCCTCCATTGAGACTACGCGATGCAGCTAGCAGAAAGCACAGCCAAACACCTGATGCCAATACTAACATTGGCTTTTCAACCTCAGCTGCACCCTCGCTGCTGCCTGCCTGCCACAGTCCTTCATCAGCTTTCTCTCAGTTATGCACAGACTATTTCAAACGTTTTCCACTCCCCTAAAACTAGTCTCACCACGGATCTCCTCTTTCAGCCAAAGACCTCACCTCATACAGGAAACAGAAGTCCTTGAACTTTCTTTCACAAGCCTACATATGTGTCTGTGCCTCTCCCTATCATTCCTTTGTTTCTTTCTGGAACAATGAAAGAAGAGGCTGTCCCTTCACCTAATCTCTGGAGCTCATCACTTTCAGTCTTCTCAGAGACATGGCTCAGTTGATGATTCCTTCTTTATCACTTCTGTCTTCAGCCTCTGCCTCTCTGGGGGTTCCTCGCTGTCAGCACTTTAAACATGCTCAAGTCTCTCTAGATTTAGAAATCACTGTCCCCTATTCCCCACATCACTTTGTGGTTACCTTCCTGCACTTCATTGTCCCAGCAAATTTCTTGAAAGCATTGTTACATGTGCTGATTTTACCTCCTATGTGCACTTCCTCAGCCCACCATACCATGAAAACTTCTTTTCCCAAGTTAACCAAGTTTGTGACTATCTTGCAATTAATTCTCTGGACATTTTGGTCCGTATCTATGTGACTTCTTGGCAGCATGTGGCACTGTTGACTGCTATTATCCTTCATGAAATCTTCAACTTGACTTCTGTGACATTGATCTCCTCAGTTTTCTTCCTCTTGCCATTCTGACTGGTACTCTTCAGTCAAGCCCTTCTTCCCCTGACCATGGTGTTTTTCAAGTTTTTATTTGTATTGGTTTCTTAAGGCTGCCATAACAAAGTACCACAAATCAGGTGTGTTAAAACAACAGAATTTTTTTCTCCCTCATTTCTGAAGACTGGAAGTCTAAAATCAAGTTTTCAGCCATGCCAGGCTCTGTCTGATGGCTCTGGAGGAAGATTCTTCCTTGCCTCTTCCTAGCTCCTCGTATCTTAGGTGCATCATTCTCATCTCTGCCTCCATAACCATCTCACCACATTTCTATCACTCTTTTGATAGAGTCCAAACCCCTCAGCATGAATTTCATGTTCTCTCATGGTCAAGCCTCTGAATTTCCTACCTTCAGTTCTCATGCTCTATGCTTCCGCCGTATTGAACTTCTTCCAGTTCTTCCAAGTTCCCATGTTTTCTCTCATTTCTTGCCCTCTCCACTGGTTATTCTCTCTGCCTGAGATATTTGTCATTTCTCTTTTCATCTGGCCATCTCACACTCATTCTCCTTGTCTCAGTTAGATGTCACTTATTCAGACAGTCTTTCCTGAACCTGAGATTGAATTATGTACTTCTCCAATGACTGTTCATAGCACACTCTACTTCCCCGTGATCACCCTTACCATAACCCTTTAACCATTTGTACTATACTGCACTATAAAACCCTTCATGATGCTTAGTACATTTAACTGAAGCCCTCAGCACTGTGCCTGGCAAATAGTGCATGTAGAATAAGTATTTATAACATGAAAAATGACATACATACTACATACAAGCTTCTGGGAAAATGAGTTGAGTTCAGAATACTGTATTCGTAGACTAACGTAGATATCCTTAAAACTAAGTTACAAAATTTCTTATGAATCATTGAGTAAAAACAAATATAGAAAAATAGATGCTTGGCATCCTTTAGCTCCCCTAACTTAACTCCTGCAGAATACTTATTGATTAAATTGAAATGTTAGAATAAAAAAGAATATCAAAGATATTTTCATAGCCCGAAACAAAAGTTTATTCTAATATAAATGATTCTTAAATATGAAAAGAAGATGTCTTTTATGTAGAGTCCAGCCTAATTCGAAAGCAATAGATAGATAAACTGAAGGAGAAATTTCGTAACTTCATATTTTTCTCACCGTCATTTTTATTCTAATCCTTTTAACTAAGAAATACATCCTCCCTGCTTTTTCATATCCCTTGACCCAATTGCAACATCCATTTAGTCTAAGTAGGAGACACTAAGCCAAAACATGGCAACCATTTTCAAGTAATTGAATTTTGTCTTCCAGAAGAAAGAACATATACCTCAGAGATATTGTGGGCTCAATTCCAGACAACCAAAATGAAGTAAATATGATAAGAAAGCAAGTCACACAAAATTTTTTGTTTCCCAGTGCATATAAAAGTTATGTTTACAGTATAGTCTATTAAGTGTGCAATAGCATTATGTCTAAAATCAACATACATACCTTAATTTAAAAATATTGTATTGCTAAAAATATGCTAACAATAATCTAAGCCTTCAGCAAGTCTTAGATTAACCTTTTTGCTGATGGTGGGTCTTGCCTTGATGTTAATGGCTGCTCACTGATCAAGGTAGTGGTCGCTGAAGGTCAGGGTGGTTGTGGCAATTTCTTAAAAGAAGACAATAAGACAACAATGAAGTTGGCCACATAGATTGACTTTTCCTTTCATGAACCATTTTTCTGTAGCATGCCATGCTGTTTAGTAGCATTTTACCCACAGTAGAACTTCTTTCAAAATGAGAGTTAATCCTCTGAAACCCTGCCACTGCTTTATCAACTAGGTTTACGGAATATTCTAAATCCTTTGTTGTCATTTCAACAATGTTCATAGCATCTTCACCAGGAGTAGATTCCATCTCAAGAAACCACTTTCTTGGCTCATCTATAAGAAGCAACTCTTCACCCATTCAAATTTTAACATGAGAGTGGAGGAATTCAATCACATTTTCAGGCTCCACTTCCAATTCTAGTTCTCTTGCTATTCCTACCACATCTGTAGTTACTTCCTCCACTGAAATCTTGAACTCCTCAAAGTCATTCATGAGAGTTGAAATCAACTTCTTTCAAATTCCAGTTTGGTGATGTTATTTTGACCTCTTCCCCCGAATCATAATTTTTTTTTTTTTTCTGAGATGGAGTCTTGCTCTGCTGCCCAGGCTGGAGTACAGTGGCATGATCTTGGCTCACTGCAACCTCTGCCTCCCAGGTTCAAGCAATTCTCCTGCCTCAGCCTCCCAGGTAGTTGGGATTACAGGCACACAGCACCACGCCCAGCTAATTTTTGTATTTTTAATAGAGATGGGGTTTCACCATTTTGGCCAGGCTGGTCTCGAACTCCTGACCTCGTGATCCACCTGCCTCGGCCTCCCAAAGTGCTGGGATTACAGGCATGAGCCACCACGCCTGGCCTGAATGTTTTTAATAGCATCTAGAATGGTGAATTTTTTCAAGACTGTTCTCAGTTTAGTTTGCCCAGATCCATCAGATAAGAGGAATCACTATCATAGCTACAAGTGTTACAAAATATATTTCTTAAATAAGACATGAAAGTCAAAATTACTCCCTGATTCATAGGCTGCAGAATGGATTTTTTGTTAGCAGACATGAAAATAACATTCATCTCTTAATACCTCTCCATCAGAGCTCTTGAGTGACTAGGTGCATTGTCAATGAGCTGAGCAGTAATATTTGGAAGACAATCTTTTAAAAATATTCAGTAAACCATGCTGTAAACAAATTTACTCTCATCCAGGCTTTGTTGTTTCATTTGTAGAAAACAGGCAGAGTAGATTTAATGCAATTCTTAAGGGCCTTAGGATCTTCAGAATAATAAATGAGTATTGGCTTCAACTTAAATTCACCAGCTACATTCCCCTCTAATGTGAGAGTCAGCCTGTCCTTTGAAGCTTTAAAGCCAGGCATTGACTTCTTCTTTCTAGCTATGAAAGCCCTGTATGACATCTTATTCCAATATAAAGCTATTTCATCTACATTGAAAAAATCTGTTGTTTATTGTAGGCACTTCATCAATGATCTCAGCTAGATCTTCTGGATAATTTGCTACAGCTTCTTCAACAGCACTTGCTGCTCCACCTTGCCCTTTTATGTTATGGAGACGGCCACTTTCTTTAAACCTCACGAACAAACCTCTGCTAGCTTCCAACTTTTCTTCTGCAGCTTCCTCACCTCTCTCAGCCTTCACAGAATTGAAGAGTTAGGGACTTGCCCTGTATTAGGCTTTGGCTTAAGGGAATGCCGTGGCTAGTTTAATCTATTCAGACCACTAAAGCTTTCTTCATATCAGCAATAAGATGGTTTTGCTTCCTTATCATTCATGTGTTCACTGGAATAGAATTTTAATTTCCTTCAAGAACTTTTCCTTTGCATTCATAACTTGGCTAACTGGTACAGGAGGCCCAGCTTTGGGCCTGTCTCAGCTTTCATTATGCCTTCCTTACTAAGCCTCCTCATTTCAGGCTTTTGGTTTAAAACGAGAGACTTGCTACTTTCTTTCACTTAAACATTTGGAAGCCACTTGTAGGGTTATTGATTCCCCTAACTTCAATATTGTTGTGTCTCAGCTAGTAGGGAGGCCTGAAGAGAGGGGTAGAGATGGGAGAACAGCCAGTCAGTAGAGCAGGGAGAACACATAGAACATTGATCAATTAAGTTTGCCATCTAATATGGACACGGTTCACAACACCCCAAAACAATTAAAATAGTAACATCCAAGATCACTGATCACAGGTCACCGTACAAATACAATAACAATGAAAAAGTTGGAAATATGGCAGAATAACCAAAACGTCACACAGAGGCACAAAGTGAGCACATGCTGTTAAAAAACGCCACCAATAGACTTGCTCGTTGCAGGGTTGCCACAAACCTTTAATTTGTAAAGAATGCAATATCTGCAAAGCACAATACAACAAAGTGCAGTACAATGAGGTATGCCTGTATGTATCCTTTGTTGTTTCATAGAGCAGAACATGGACCAAAGAATGGAATTTTTAGGGGGTCAGATTTGTATTCAACAGAGAGTTTAGAATAAACATTTCGTAGGCTGAATCACATAAATTCCACATCAAAGAGAAGCTGCGTGTGATAAAGCAATAACAATAACAATAGGTATGGTATTATTTGCTGAGTACCTGTAATGTACTAGACACTGTGCTAGGCATTTTCATAAGTATCTCATTAACACCCAAAACAATTCTGCGAAATCACTATCATTATTCACATTTTTATAAATAAACTGAGGTATGAAGAGAAAGGTCACTTGGCTAAGCTCACATATTTAGTAAAAGGCAGAGGTAAGTATTGAAGCCAAGTGTTTCTGACTCCAGATTCCCACCACCACTGACACCCCTCTTTTCTCAACCCCACACTCCTTCTCAGTGGTAGAAGAAGTCTAAAGAAACAATCTCTAAGACTCTCTTAACAACTCTAAGAGTGTAATCTTCAACCCATTTCTTCAGGATATATAGGGGAATTTAACTATGAATGTCCCACAGAAAGACAGCCTAGTGAGCTTGAAATCTTAAGCCTGACAGGTGAATAAATGCCATGCTCTCTTCAGCAAACATAAAGCCATTAGAATCTAGTATCATAAAACAAATTCCTGTATAACTTTTTAAGAACACTGACAAAATAAGACATTATTTCCCATATTTTAATCACCGCCATCTCCTTTGTGTTTCGGTACCCTTCCTTTTATTGTTTCTCAAGAAAAGTAAATTTCACTTTAGATTGCTTTGTGTTAAGAAGACTACAACTTAGAGAATGGATTAAAACTGAATTTGCAATCTATTTTCAGCCTATTAAGGGTAACTATTTAATTCTATCTGGAATTCATCACAGAAGAAAGATGCTTCCCTGGATTATAAAAAGCAAGGTAGCATTTCCCTGGGATTTGTCATACTTCAAGGTAGGTTAGGACTACCCTACCCAAATAAATTGAGACTAAGAATAATGCTAGTGGAATTCTGTCTTAGAAAATCCAATTATATGAATCTATCCTTGGTGTAATAGACAGGTTGGCATTCAAATGCTTTATTAACATTTCAGTCAGATTTTATATTGATACAGCTACCAAGGCCCTCTATAGTTGGTATCTTCAGCAATATTATCTCTTTAGTCTACATTCCAAAAAGGTGGTTTAACCAATGAAAACAAAGATAATTTCTCATCTGTATGCTATGCTTTACAGCCCTAGACTCCTTTCTATTCCCTGTGCCACTCTCCCAGATTAAGCTTCTTCACCTTTCATCTAAACCATGATAAACACCTTCTAACTCTTTATATTAGTTAGACCTGCCTTTCCAAGTAACAGCTCTGAGTAAGTCACATTTTCCTCCTTTAAAAAAAAAAGTACCAGTGAATTTCTATTAACTACAAAATATCATTTTTAGCTTTCAGGCAAAAAATAGGATTCTTATCTTGGCCCAGAATTTACCTTTATGAATTCTATTTCTGTCAGTATAACAGACTAGACTAAATACCCTGAGTGAACTTCCCAGCTAAAATAACCTACATGCCAAATAAAATGTAAAAATAATCTTCGGAAATTAATTGCTGAACTAGCATGAAAGAATACTTCAACAGCTAAAATAGAAGTAAAGTAGGGACTCCTGGTATGTAAGCAATTACCAAAGATTTCCAGTTGTCAGAGAGTTTTCTATTGACTTCTGATGATTTTAAGCTCCTCCTTAATGGCTCCACCATACATGAGAACTAGTAGATAAAGCACACAGTCATCATAAAGGGGTGAGAATGGGTTACTCCCACATATGTAGGATCCCAAAGAGTATCACACTCAGTGTAAGGCAGAACAATAAATAAATCTGCCACACCAAAGGAGAAAGCCAGGGAATTTATTGTATTAGTTAGTTTCCATACTGCTATAAAGAGCTACCCAAGACTGGGTAATTTATAAAGAAAAGAGGTTTAATTGACTCACAGTTCTACATGGCTGAGAGGCCTCAGGAAATTTACAATTATGGCAGAAGGAGAAGGAGAAGCAAAGACCTTCTTCACATGGTGGCAGAAAAGAAAAAGCAAGCAACAGCAGGGAAAACTGACTTATAAAACCATCAGATCATCACTATCACGAGAACAGCATGGGGGAAACCACCCCCATGATCCAATCACCTCCCACCTGGTTCCTCCCTCAACACATGGGAATTATGGGATTACAGTTTGAGAAGAGATTTGTGTGGAGACACACAGCTAAGCCATATTACTTGTCTATATTGATTTTGGTGCTGAAGAAGAAGGAAATATATCTTGAGAAGCACATGCAGGTTCTTCTCCTGGTGTTACAGTTTTGAATTCCTGATACCTATGTAGGTCAAAAAACTTTAAATGAATAATTTATTTAGAGTGATCTTTTGTTGGTAGTGCCACCACACAACTCCCCAAAGCAAAGGCAAATCCTCTTTGGAAGAATCTTTGAGTCCTTCAATTGAGATCTCAAAGAACTCCCATAGATACAGGTTCAAAGGAAATGAATAGTTCATATCAAAAATCTAATGACACATAACAAATCATCCTGAGTGGGAGCAAGCAGAAAGAGCAGATGGCAGAACCCAATGTGTAAAAATTTCAGATATTGTAATTATCAGACACAGATTATGAAATATCAAATATCTCAAGAATTTTTAAAGCTTGAAAATAGAATAAGGAATAAGAAACTATAAAGAAGGACAAAATAGATTTTTAAGAAATAAAACTTCTGCAAATGAAAGCATAATTGAAATCAAATTGTACCCTTCCAACCTCATCTCCCACCAGATTTTTGTTGTTCTCTACGTGTTCTCTGAACTTTCTTGCCTATGTTCTTTTGCTTCCATTACTCTCTCATTTTGAACTATATTTTTCTCTCTGCATTTTGAGCTAATACCCATTGATTAAGGGTCAGTTCCAATGCTAACTCTTCGATTTAGCCACCGTAGACATTCAGATAGGTCTCCATGTTTTGTTTACATTATATGTGACACTTAGAATATCATTTATTAGTTTGTTGATGCTAGGTGTATTTGCCCGGTTAGATTATAAACAACTTGAGAAAAAGAGATTATGATATAAGCAACTCTATTTGTCTCAACTGGGTATGTGTCCTACCCAGAATAGATGTTAAATATATGCTGATTATACTGATTGGAGCTAAAAATTATTTTATTCCTGTAATGTATTCCATTCTATAGTCATAGAAACTTAAGCAACAAACTGCACAACAAAGAGGCCCACTTGGCTTAATTCCCACTGTGCATTATTTATAAAAATCAATATAAAATTTTGTCTCCTGTAATATTATATATCTTGCTGTCTTTCCATTGAGCTAGATTTATGATAGTAGGAGACCCATATTCTTTCTTGCATCAAATTATGTCCCAGTTTTTCTCAATTTATGTTATTGCATTACTATTATTATTATATGGCATTAGTGATAAAACCTATTTAAGACCAATTCTGTTAAACATATTTAGGGTTTTTTTTAATTGACACATAATAGTTGTACATTTTTGTAGGGTACATATTGATGTTTTGATATATACAATGTTTAGTGATCTGATCAGGGTAATTAGCATATCCATCATTTCAAACATTTATCATTTCTTTCTGTTGGGAACAGTCAATATCCGTCCTCCTTCTAGCTATTTGAAACTTTAGATTATATTAGTAACTATAGTCATCCTACAGTGCTATATAACACTAGAACTTATTCCTCCTATCTAGCTATAATTTTGCATCCTTTAATAAATCTCTTCCTATCCCTCCCTTCCCCTTACTCTTCCCAGCCTCTAGTATCCTCTGTTCTATTTATTACTTCTATGAGATCAACTTTTTTTACAGCTTCCACATAGGGGTGAGAATATTCAGTGTTTAACTTTCTGTTCTTAGCTTATTTCACTTAACATATTCCACTTCTATCCATGTTGCCACAAATGACAGGATTTTACTCTTGTTATGGCTGAATAGTATTTCAATGTGTATGCATATTTTCTTTATCAATTCACCTGTTATTGGACATCTAGGTTGAGTCCATACCTTGGCTTAGTGAATGGCACTGCAGTAAACATGAGGATGCAGCTGTCTCTTTGATAAACTGATTTTCATTCCTTTAGATAAATGCGTAGTAGGATTGATGGATCATATGGCAGTTCTATTTGTAGCCTTTTGAGGAATCTCCATACTGTTCTCCATCATGGTTATCCTACTTTACATTCCCACCAATGGTAAATAAAAGTTTGATTTAGGGTTTTTTAAAGCATTAATACAAGTTATTGAATTTAAGTATATCTAAAAGAATTTTTTGTACTGTTAGGGAGAAGTGAAGTGATACAAGGTAGATAGTAGGTGTTTGGGGCACTAAAATCAGGATGACTTGGAGTGAGAACCTGTGTAGGAAATTTAGAACACTTTAAAATGTGGGCTGTCTATGAGTCAAATAATAATTTTAAAATGTATTAAAGAGAAAAAAAGAGGTGGAAATTTGAATAATACAAAAAAGGAATTAGAAAAGATGAAAAAAGCAGCTACAATGCGGGTTAAAGATGGTAACTGTCTTTTGAAGAAAGGGAAAACAATGTGGGTAGACTCATAAACATCAGGTAAACAGTCAACCATCCTTTAAAGCTCCCTTTCTCTTGGATAATACCAAATGGTTTCAATTTTAAAAACGGAAATTTGGCATGAAAGAGTTCTGTAACATGGCCTGCCCACTTACGGGATTTAGAGTAAAAAATGTAAACCAGCTGTGATACTGAGGTTTAGGAATCATTTGTTGTCCATATTCAGTAGCTTTTCCCATGGAATTACAAAAAGAATTGTATGATGGATAGTCTACATCCTAATTATATAATTACACAGTGGAAAAGAACAGCTGAAGAGGAGCCGTTTCATCCTTGTGTCCAATGCCTGCAGAATCTATGTATCGCATAATGGATGGATGTCTTACTATACAGAAAACTATAATTTTATTATGAAACGTTGGTTTTCATATGGGATTAGAATATGTATATTCAAGCCAGTAGAAATAAAATCAGAACTAATCTAAAGCTTCAA
Source organism: Homo sapiens (assembly GCF_000001405.40). Taxonomy (NCBI): domain Eukaryota; kingdom Metazoa; phylum Chordata; class Mammalia; order Primates; family Hominidae; genus Homo; species Homo sapiens. Next base: position 37,730,343 of record NC_000015.10, read on the forward strand.
GCTGAACATCAACCAAATCCAGATTGGGTTTTCATTAAGATTTGAATATATTTTAGGGAAAAAAATACTTTTCTTGACTTAGTTCCTCTGCTCTTCCAAGTGCAGTCAGTCCCAAAGCAGGAATATCACAAGGCATCCCAGCAAATAAAGATATTAAGGGCAAATGTCAAAACTTTCTAGGTGTTAACCTAATGGAAGTTTCTGAACCTAATGGAAAATATAAGTGCTGAGCAAAGAGTAGGTAATCAATCATCTATTTTATCAACTATTTCTGTGCCCTTGATGTCAAGAGAGGTTATATGTGCTGTATCTCTCATAGAAATCTCTCCCTGCCAGGATACCAGAAAGCAATTCTAAATGTGGAAAGTGTTAGCTATTCAAGAATGGCAGAATGAGAAGTCAAAAAAAAAAAAAAAAAAATCACAAGCTCAGCTAACCTGGAAACATGGCATGATGGAATTTCAAGACACCTGTAGCAGAAACATTTGCTGACTTTAACTCTCAATCATTACTAAATCACGATGAACACCAGAGATATTCGGTAGCTAGTGAACAGAGAAGGGGAAGCTGGCCAAAATAAATGCTGGCAAAATCTGCCATTTATCTTTAAAATATCTTGGGCTCAAGAGAGTAGGAGCCCTTTTTCCCTTCTCTGCTCACTTCACTTCTTTGTCTTGGCCTTTCTTCATCGTGTGGGGTTTCTGGTCAGCCAGCAAAGCTCTCCTCACAGAGCCTTGTCTTTGCTTACTGCAGCAACATGTCTTTCATTGCTACAGCACGTGACATGCTTAGGCTTTTGGAAATGGATTCGGGATTTAGTCCTGGGCTACCGGTACAAATTGCAGAGAACAGCTTGCTCAAACTCTGGGGGAAAGATGCTGACTTACAGTAATTGATAAGGTCATTCCTGCTGGATGATCCTCCAGTGGAGGAAAGGTAGCTACTATGCTTGGTAGAGAACTGGGAACATCAGTTCCAGAAAAAATGGCTTCGCATTTCACATGACATCCAAGAATTATATCACTCCCTGTAGTCCACCGTATAATAAGAAATCTGTAGCTTTCATTCTGTAAAAATTATTAATCATTTGTGGCTGAAAAATGAATCAGTGAAGTTAACCTACATTGTCAGGTTTGATTTATCTGGAGGTAAACAACATTCTAAGAGGATTTAGTGGGCTAGTGTTTAGTAAAAGGGTATGTCCAGGTCGTGGCACTACATAGATTGAATGTCCAAACATTTAAAAGCTCTTTCATCATTGGACTGAATAAGAAAATGACAGCCATCATTTGGTGACCTTAGAATGTCCCAGCTATTTGTAACAGACTTTCAGCAGTGAATCTAACCTCCCATCAGGCTTGGGTTAAATAAATGACAAGTTATTTTTCTGACTTTAAGATTAATATTGAGCTGCCCTGTTAAAAATATGTTCTTCTGAATAGAACATTAAATTACAATTATTTGGAGGAGTATGTGAAGGAGGAAAGAAGAGAGAGGCAATTTTTTTTCCTCCTTTTCATTTTATTTCATTAGGTTGGTGTCTCCACACCTCATCATAATATTTTTCTGTCGATACAGTGATTGCTACACTAACCACCTGTGCTAGACAAGCACCTGCCTTAAAAATGCAATTTTTAGCTAAGATTTAAATTGCAAACTAGAATTCCAAGGCCCCTTGCCAAAACAAACTCACTTTTCTTTTGAAGAGAATGTTGTCTCCCAAGGAAGATTTTCCTGTACAGTACTCTGTATTTTGACTTAATAGCAAATCTCTCTTCCTCTCTCGCTAAATTTTTTTGTCTCTTGTCAGCTGGTTCAGGGCAATATCTTCATCAAATTCTCAAACAGCCAAGTGGGAGGTCCCTCTCAAATTCTAAAAATTAACTTCTCTTAGTCATTAACTCATTCATATTTGAGGAATCAAATGTGTTCCTTATATAGTAATTCCACCTTATCCATGAGAGATACATTCCAAGAACCCCAGTGGATGCCTGAAACCACCAAACCCTATACATATTATGTTTTTTCCTGTTCATGCATACCTATGACAAAGTTTAATTTATAAATTAGGTGCAGTATTCATGTGCTCTGAGGACATTATTTGGTAAAATATAGGTTAGTTGAACACAAGCACTGCAATACCAAGACAGTTGATCTGATAATGGAGACAGCTACTAAGTGACAAACAGGCAGGAGTAGGTATGACACAGATACACTGGACAAAGGGAGGATCTGCATCCTGGGCAGGACAGCATGAGATTTCATTGTGTTACTCAGCATGCTGTACAATTTTATATTTATTAATTGCTTATTTCTAGAATTTTTCATTCAATATTTTTGGATCTCAGTTGACTGCAGGGAACTGAAAAGCAAAACCTCAGATAATGGTGCAGACTACACCTTTAGAGCAATGAAGACTTCCAAGAAAAAAATTTCAAATGTGGCAAACTGAGCTATTTATTTATGTTTAACCTTTATTTGAGGAGCATATTACAGTTTGTTTTACACTCTCGTTATGAAAAGGCAAAGAAGCTCTGTCCTCCACCTCTCATGTCCTCTGGTTCCCAGGATGCAGTGGGCAGTAATGGAATGCGCCTCACCTCTGGAGAAAGAATTGAATTTGAATCTCTGCTTGGCCATAAGAAGCATCAACCCACCATGCTACTTCTTTTAACATAAAGCAATTAATACAGGTAGGAAAATGGGATGAACATTAAATGTGACTTTTCCTAACATAAACCCATGGAGAAATCCAGAAATACCTTCGGTAGGGACACTGATTCTAATATCTCATATTGAAATGGTTGCCATAAAATTGGTGTTTTATGATAGAAAATGGTCAATGGTAGCCCTCAAGAAGTGCTGTTAAGAACCAACACAAGTGCCAAGTGAGGAATCTCTTTGAGTCCAAAGACAGAAATGACAGAAACCTCACTGGGCACCTGAGGATTAAGATCCTCTTATCACCATGATGTTCCACAGTGAAACACACACACCAGTAAGTGCTCAACAAATAGTTAACAATAAAAAAGAAATTAAACAAGAAAGCAGTAGCTTTTCTGTTTAACATGGAATAGGTCTAAAATCTCTTAAATTTAAATTTCAAATAAGCCTCATCACTTGTCAATTTCTACCTTATAACCATTGGGAGATAGAACTGATGGAGTGCTCCTACACATCTTTCATTTTTCACTGATGCATAATAGTTGTACACATTTTCCTACTCATATTGCTAGGCCAGGAATGCAAGGCTCTGACTGCTGGGGCCCTGGGGCCATTTCATAGGGCTGTATTTGTAGAAAGCAATCTTAGAGGGATGAAATACGCTCTCCCTCCAGTATGACGAGCAGGTCTGCTTATTTACTCTTTGAAAAGTGGGTCTCCCAAGCTCGATGTTCCGCAACTGCAACACAAAACATGCCCTCTGCCTGTTGCATGTGTAATATCCACCTTTTCATTCTATGTCACCCCGCTGAGACTCAGCAGGCAAATGGAACTAATACAAACATGATGCCACTTTCTGTGCTGTGAATAATATAATCCTTCATCTCTGACTCAGAAATCTATGTATTCTGCCAGCATCCATGAAACAGCAATAGGCTATGTTATTAGCCTGTAAGTAAGCTAAAACCAAACCCCAGACCCAACAATGACATATTTGTGTCTCCTAACTGTGACCTTCATGAGGACAATATTTGTGTTGGATTATTTTTGTACCACATGAATACAGTGCTTGTATAGAATAAGCACTAAGAAATGTGTTTGATAATTAGATGGTTGAATTAATTATTCACCAATATTACAACAGCAAATCTGGTGTTTAGTTTTACGTAAAATAACCCATGACTCTGAAATAGACCTAGAGTCCATACTAAAAATTAAAAGTGGGAAAAAAATTTAGAAATTAAAAAATAGACAGTGACCCAACTGAGCATCAACAAGGTTAATTCTTATGCATGAACAGAATATAATACTGCTTCACATCTGAATAATGGTTTACACTGTACAAAGTTCTTCCACATTTCTTATTTTGCACCTCAAACACAGAGATAGGAAAAACATTATTATCTCTTTAAGGATGAGAAAGTGAATTTGTAAGACAAGCTGAAGATCATTAGGTTTGTAAATAGCTGGGAAAAGTTCTGCAACCCAGATATTTACCCCCTCAAGTCAGGGCTCATTTCAAAATGTGGCATTTTCCACAGATGCTTTAGTATTCACGTTGCTTCTTTTGAAGGCTTCTTCTCATGTACTGATTAAGTTTAATATGCATAGCCTTACCAATATTTTCAGGTTCTTTTGTGTATGTGTGGCTGTGAAGGAATACGATTTCATTATTTAATAGGAAAAACAGGTCTGCAACTCTTTTTGAGTATGATCTGTTTTGAATACCACATCTTCTCACATTCCACATATTCTACTCAACAATACAATGAAGTTTGTAGACTTCATAGATGCATTTATTTTAGTACAAATTTCAAAAGCTAAGCTACAAACTCAAGATTTTCTTTTTAAAAAGACAAGTCCCATAGTGCAATATCTATTAAAACTGTAGATGTGGTAATAGACTGATTTTGTTATTGATTTACTTGTGAACACGGCCAGGCTTATACCACTACTAACACAAAGCTTGTTACTCTTAAATCTCCAAAGTCCTCTTTCTAAATGCTCTAAAATTGTGTGTGAACTTTTAAAGAATTGCTTTTTTGAACTAGTTTTCCATCTTTTTGAAATCATCTTAATTTATGATAATATATACCATCTTGTGCTAAGTAGAATAAATTGCCTGAAAGGCAAGCAAAATGCACTTAAGTATTATACAAATCAGAAATCATTCACATTTCCATGTTTTTCCGAAGAAAAACTTTGAAATATTAGCAGTTAAAAGTTTCCTTCGGTGATTTGTATCTCACTACTCAGCATTAGTTCCTCCAGAGTATTTAGGATTTTTATCTGGCATATGAGAAAAAATAACCAGAGTTTGAACAAGTTGGTAATTCTGCTTTATATGATCCAGCTGGCTGCAAAAAGAACCAGCCTGATATATCAGTATCATATTTCATAATTTCTCATTTCTATGTAATTGATAAACTCCCAAATTTTAGACTTGTAACATACTGGTTTAAAGTTATGGACATTATCTCAGAAGATTTAACAATGGTGTGTTAAAAATATTTATTCAAAGTTTCCATTAGTGTATCACTTTCCAGCACTGCTAAAAATTAGACTGCATCAATGACAAATTAAATCAAAGTCTATGACTCAGTTTCCTAGATTTCACAATTAATAGGACCAAAAATAACATGCTGTATGTGTTGTGGATGTGGGGCAGGAGGCATAGCAGAGTGAGACGATGAATAGTTCACCAACATGAGGTCAGCAGATGCTCTGAAAGGATCCAGTAAGTAGCACACCATGGTGGGTTGCTTGCAGTTCTCATTCAGTTCCAGTTTCATTCAGGAATCTCCTGCAGAAGGTACTCTATAACCTTAAATTCATCTGTCTTCAGAAAAATGCTGTCCAAATTTCCATAAGTGCAAGATGCCAATTTTCGGGCTGTATGGATTTCTTTTGTCATTCTTAACTCAATCACATATCTAAGATAATAAATACATAATGGATGCCAGTGATTTTACCCAACCCTTAGACCAGAGGAAAATAATCTGTAACAGTACACAACCAATATATGATAATGAACCTGCTAGAGAAAAAGTAAGAGAGATAGAAGAAAAGAAGAAACAAGTAAGACAGCAAAGTAGTAAATGAGGACAGAGGAAAGTGAAAAGAGAGACAGGCAAGGAAACCCTCATTCCAGGTGGCCCAGTGAAATGACTTCTTTCTTATCTATGCCTTGCTCCTGCTTCTACTCACTTCTGAGCTTGTTCTCAAGTTACTGTCCCAATAGAGATAATTGAGTTAATGAATCTGCCTATCTCTTACCTAACACATAGCCAGACAGGTTTTTATTTCAACTCTTATTTGAAATACTATCCAATATGTATGTAACAAAAATCAGTAAACAATACATACTATCCAATATGTATGTAATACAAATCAATAATACAATGGTCCAATTTAAATTTCAGGCTAACCCTGAATGACTGTTTAGGTGTCAACTTCACATTTAAAAAGACACAACTCTTATATGTCTGAGAAGACATAATTTTTTTAAACCCTCACCATCATATTAAGCCAAATGAAACCCAAAAGTAGGTTTTCTTAAATGAAAGATTAAAGCATGACGTAAACAGTATGAACAACCAACAATATACCGACCTCTAAAAAGGCTAAGCCCAGAAAAAAAAAAAAAAATACTTCCTACATCAGAGAGAGCCCTCTTTTAAGCTCATTTATTTGCCGCTTATAATCTATTTGAATGTCTACTTCTTTATTTCTAAGAATAAAGAGTTCTAAGAACATTGTTATATTGCATAATATTTAGCTACTTATCAACAATTTTTATCATTTGATAGCAATGAAGGTAGGAAGAACTAAATGGTGATTTTTCTCCTTCCAGGAAGGTGAACATGCAGAGCTACACACATCATCTTTCCTGTGATGTTACAGAATAGAATTATAACTAGTAAATTTATGACTTCAAAGTAGAGGAAAATATAATGAAGATTCATTGGTAAATTTGATATAAGTCTGTTAATATCAAGAGTAAGGTAAACTCTGCTGAATATAATGTATCCAGCATATCACTGCCCTTCCTTTGACTTTATAAACTTGAGTTCTAACCTTGGAACATGAATTGCTAATTAGGAAACCAAAATTGATACCAATTGTGAATCCAGTCCTGAACTAGCTGTTATGGAAAACACACACACATACACACACACACACACACACACACACACACACACACACAGACTTCTATTATCAAGGAGTTTATCATCTGATTGGAAGTGCCCGGCTCTGTCTCCTCTGTTTATTCCTCTTGTTCCCACACAGCCCTATATGTGATCCACTCCAAGCTGAGCAGCCCTTTGCTTCCTCTCTCACAATTCAAATAGAATATCTATTTCCTCAGCCACATCAAGGAAAAAAGTTTTCTTTAATTGAACAAGGCTGTACCCTCCAACTGGCCTTAGTCTTTCTACTCATCAGAGCTGAAGACCACACTATAACTTCAGTCCCTGCTTGCTTTTCCTTCTCCTTGACACTTTCTATGCTGTTCTTGCATAAGATACTCAGGTATCCCCCTTCTTTTCCATAGAAAACTAAGAGGTTTGTAGAACAGAGACAGACTTGGGATATGTGACAAGTCATGAATACAATCCCCTCACAGGATCCTTTCTTCCTGAGAGTGAATGGAATAAACTGTTTTCCTATGTGGAATAAAAGTGCTTTAGGACTCACGAGCGCTCTATTTCGGGCAGCATGAGCAAATGAAACATACAATAGGTGCCCAATAAGAACATGAACCAATGAATAAACACATAGACTATTTGACTGCCTCTGTGCTTCCTTTTGAGATGGCGAGACTACCCAACAATCTCACGAGCAATACAATGTGAGCTTTTATAGACTTGTAACATACTGGTTTAAAGTGATGGGCATTTTCTCAAAAGATCTAACGACAGTGTGTCAAAAATATTTATTCAAGGTTTCCATTAGTTTATTTCTTTTCAGCACTGCTGAAAACTAGACTACATCAATGACAAATTAAATCAAAGTCTATGACTCAGTTTCCTAGATTTCACAATTAATAGGACCCAAAATAACATATTAATTTCTGTAGGATGAAGAGAATTAACACTTTAAAACATTCTGCATTATCAATAAACCTATGGTTCATTTTCACAAATGGAGTTTGTTTCAGTTCTCAGCTGTTGGATGATGATTTGACTTGGAGCAAAGGCAATGTAATTGGGTAACAGCTGAGATGTGCTTGTTTGAGTGGAGCTGAAAGATCCATTGCAGGATTTCTAAGAGTGTGAATTACAATTCCAATGATATCAGAAACAACTAATTCTGTTCTTTAGAAGTGAGGACATAAAAGAAGTTTGAGGTTTTCTTATTTCAAGCTTTAATTGAGGGCTAGGCTGTAATTCATTTTCATCCCTGAGTGAGTGGTAAAAACATACACAGCAGGTAATTCACACCACCTCAAAAACTGTTGGTGCAGTAAGAAGACTAATCAGGGTAAGCTTCCAGTAGCAAATTATCAGCTACAAATTAAAACCTTGCCTCATGCTTGCTAAGAGAAACGTTCCTTTTCACCAACACATATATGTGAATATTAGTAACTGTTGGATTGCAGCAAAATGGGAAGATTAGGGGTCCTGCCTGCTTGCATTAAAGAGAGCCCTGGAAAGGTGTGAAATAAACTAGACTTCAAAGAATGCAAAATTTTTGGTTTAAAAATGAAAAGTTGTCACTATCCCAGGTGGAGAGGTGTTTATTCTGGAAATGGAAATTAATACTGCACATAAAGAAGTAAACATAAATTCCTAGTAGAGTTTGAAAGTTTTTGTTTAAGTCCTTCTATCTTCTTGAATCATATTCCTCAAAATAAGAACAAAAGATTGCTGACTACAAAAAGAATTAATTAAATTTCTGATGTTAATTAATCTCAAGGAAATAGAGAACAGCGATAGGACAAAAATTCTGTGATTTTCTTGGCTTTACGCCATAACCCTAATGTAATTTAAAAGTATGTTTTTAGCATTTAACCTTCTCAGTGATTTTTGCTTAGATGATGTTCAAAATTGTTTCAAGAAAGCTGCAAAGTGGTAATGATAATACATAAAGAGTTCAAAATGGCTGCACATATCTGATAAATATATACGCTATATACATAATTATGCTATTGGCTTCAATGACCATAATTGCACCTTTTGGGCTGCAGATCCACTTTTAGTTCCATCTCTCTCTGAACAAAGCTGTTGTAATAGCAATATAGACAAGGGTATACAAATAGCAAAAATCTTCCTTTTTATAAGGGCTAATTTTATTAATACTCAAAATCTTGCTTCTTTTAACTCAGAAAATCAAAAAACAAAAAAGAGAGAGAAAAGCACCTTGTCAGGATTAGCCAAAGCAACATTTCCTTAAAGAAACAAACACCCTGTTTGTAGAGCTATGTGGACTCGCAGCAAATCTGTGACTTTGCCACAGCACTTTGTTTTCCAATCAAGTGTCTCTATCTTTAAACGGAACTAGAGAGACTTTCTGGAAACCCAGATAAATTACTCAAGAGTTGCTGAGCTGATTTTCCGAATGCCAAGTTTAAAGCCTGAAGCAAATTTAAACACTATCATTGAAATCTCTGGAGGGGGTGAAGGAAGTGGGGAAGAGAGAAGAGGTTTAAAAATGGAAATCTCTAAATGGTCTGCATACAAACACCACACTTTTACCCTAACACCACCTAGCTAATCATTCACTTCTTTAAATTCACAGAGGTCCAATGCATACTGGACTGTCTTTGGTAAACACATGCACCGTCCTGAATTTATCTGTACCTTAAGCCATTTCTGAGGATTCTACCTGGAGAGTCACTTCTTCATAGAGTTCTGGCCAGCCACATCACAGAGATTCAGCCCAATATGGGTGTTTCTGTGTGTATACATGTGTGTATTCAACTTAATTCATCAATATCTCTGCATCCAAAGCAAAATTATCATAAATGAGGAAGAGCCGAGAACGCAGACCTTTTTCAACAGATCTCTATAATAATTTTTCAAGATCTGGTTATTTTGTCCTCAGTCACACTCAAAGAAACAAGTATTTTCTCAGTGATCCCTAGAAGTCAAACAGTAGGCTCTGATGAAAGGGTCATCTTGTAAAATTGGATGTCTGGAGAGTACGTCCAAAATCATATAAGATTTGCAATTCCAATTTTCTTCTCCAAAGGAATTGGAGTTATATACCATTGTCCCACCATGCAACGGCTAATGAGAAGCCATGCTCCCTTCAGCACCCAACTACTCCTGGAGCTGAGTTGGTACTCCTTAACCCGGGTTTGGGCTCCAGTGAAAGCAGAAAACAAAACAAACCTAGTGTCCGCCTCTCTCGTTTTACAGGTCCCTGAACATTTCTTGGAAGAGTTAAGTGATACAGGAGTCTCATTAAGTCTACTAAGATTCTACTAAGATAACTGTTTGATGTGTTACTCGATAGATGAAACACAAAACTGTTCTTTAAAAATCAGTTAAACTGTTTGAAGGAACAACAAATTCATACATCAGCCCATTCTTTATATTCTAAAGTGCAATTTATGGGGCTAAACGAAAGTAAATGTCATACCTTTAATTTCGTAAAAAGTTACGTACAAGTCTATTATTCAAAATAATCACATAACAGAGAACAGCTACCTTTCTGCTCAGTGGGGTGCCATTTTATAGACTTTAGAATTCACTAAGTTCAAGCAGCTTTCGTTCTAAATAATACATGTGCTAAATATGTCACATTAAAAGTGCTTTTGGCATGTAAATGATCTGTTTTCTCATAGAAATGCTTTTAAAAGAATCTGAGCTCACTTTTTTCTTTTTCTCCTTCTTCTTCTTCTGCTTTTTTTTTTTTTTTTTTAAATTCTAAGTGCATTGAATTTCATTGTCCTACAGAACCATGCAGAGTTGAGCGAAGTGAACTGCAGGGACAACACAGCCCTTGTCAGCCTGTGTACTTATGTATCATTTGAACTGTCAGAAGTATATAGCGTTCTATTTGCTTCAACATTATTTTCTGTTCCAATCTGGGGGAAATTTTCTCTTTTGCTCTCATTTTTCCCCCGGAACTAAGTGTTAGCAAGCAGTTTCAGGTCTAAAAAGTTAGTGATTTACTGTTAAAACAGAAGGCACGTGTACAAACAAGTTTTCTGTATATTCGTTTAATTCTTCAAACCCTTTCCTATTTCTTCTGTTCTATAACACTGAACAATAAAGCTGATGTTACATGGGTGATTTAAGGTGCTTACCCTCCAAAGAAATGAATTCAAAATTCTTGTGCATTATATGAATAAAACTGAAAGCATAGTCTCTCCCTCTTGTAGCTTCATTATACTGCTACATACACGGGAGCCTTCCCACACCGTATATGCAGCTTACCAAGGGACAGCCTTTCATAACTTCTGAATTGATTGTTCCTTCTCTCTCCTTTGTAGTGCCATGTAGTAGAATTTGATGATATCAGCTATCTTCTGCTTTTAGAGATCTTTTGCTCGTACTTATTAAAATAGAGCAATGTGAATGCAACTTGAAATCCATTATGCAGTTTGTAGAAGCTGTTTCTCATAGAGTAGTTAGCTTCAGGTTTCTCCTAGAATTTTAACGTCACCATTTCTTTTACATATAAAGAAAAAATGTCTCAAGAAATAAGTCAGAAATGATATGTAAAAATTTGCTGAGATCAACTATAAGTAAAGGGAGTTGGTTTTATAGTAGGATAATTCATAATATAATCATAACACGTATAAATAAGAGTTGAAAATATGAGTTGGGTTGCCATACTTAGCAAATAGAAATATAGAACATCCAGTTAAATTTGAATTTCAAATAAATAATAATAATTTAGTATAAGTATGCCCCACGCTTATACTGAGAAAATATTCATTGTTTATCCAAAATTCAAATTTAACTGGTTGTCTTACATTTTATCCAGTAACTCTAAATATGAACCTACTTTAAAAGTCTAACTTTCTGGGTGTGGTGGCTCACGCCTGTAATCCCAGCACTTTGGAAGGTTGAGGCAGGTGCATCATGAGGTCAAGAGATCGAGACCATCCTGGCCAACACGGTGAAACCCCGTCTCTACTAAAAATACAAAAATTAGCTGGGCATGGTGGCGCACACTTGTAGTCCCAGCTACTCAGGAGGCTGAGGCAGGAGAATCGCTTGAACTTGAGAGGCGGAGGTTGCAATGAGCAGAGATCATGCCACTGCACTCCAGCCTGGCGACAGAGTGAGACTCTGTCTCAATAATAATAATAATAAACCCCATAAAGTCTAACTTAAAGAATGCAAGATAAATGTTTTATATCAACAGATCTACCTACTTTTGTGATTTAGACAATAATTGTCCATTACATCTATATACTTTACCTACTCTGATACCAGTGCATTCTTTTTAGTTTTAGGAATGTATTTCTAAGGAACAGGTTTAAATGTTTTAATTAAATATGATTAACCAAGAATTCAGACAGGCAGATGCAGTAAGAGTAGAGGTGCCTTTTATTTGTTCAATGGGCATTTGAAATATTTCTAATGTGTCTGTTTTTAGTACAACAAATGATTCCCTCCCTGAAATTCTCCATTTTATCACTTAAATATATTTACCTGAATATTTCTTCTAAATGTATGACCAGATTTCAATTTCCTAGTTAGGTTGAACTGTACCATAATTGCTTTTAAGAAGAGGGTTTACATTTATTGAGTACCTATTTTGAACCAGTGCTTTTTTAAAAAAATTTCTGTAATCATCACAAGAACTCTAAAAGCTAGATACCAATTACTATTCTCATTTATACAACTAGCACAAGTTACAGAGCTAACAGGTGACAGAGGTATGATCAGTAGCCAATTCAACTAAACGGCAAAGTCTAGATTCTTTCCATGGTGAAATCTGCCTCAGAATAGTTGGCTGAATCCTTCTTCCAGTCTTTTACAAAAAAAGATTGAATTTGAGAAAAACCAAGATGGTAAAATCAGGATATGAGTCTTATATGAACTCAACATTGTTAGGAGGAAAACTTACTTTTCTTCCAGTTGTTCTTTTAGCAAACCTGAAATGGATCAGTTAATGAAAAATTTTCTACAACCAGGGCCTAGGATTAAAAACATTTTTTCCTACACTTTCTCTTCTCTTTAGGTTCATTACCATAACATAGAATAGTAAGAATTAGGTACCCATGGAGCCCAATTTTAAGAGAAAATCTTAAACCACATCTACATTAAGCATTGGATCAGTCCCCTCTACAACCACTGGGAATTATTCATTAGCATTCACAGTGCGAAAAATGCGTGAATAACACCACTGTATTTTGTAAAATGCAATTTTTGGCAGGTTGACTAAAATCTTGGCACACATTATCATTTTCCCAAAATGTATTTGCATCTAGGCTTACTGATTTTTATTACTCTATCTGGACCGTCTCCAAATTCTCCTTATCCTCAAATTTAAATAGAGCACTTCATGAAGGTTTCCTGTAAATTAAAAAGCACTGTTAGAACAGGTAGAAACATGAAACTAGCACTTTATCGATTATTTTTTAAAGCCCTAAAACATATTCACATGCATTTATTTATTGTGTTTCAAAACTATATTTATTTGATAAAGTATAAGTGTTTAACAGGTTACCAGAGAGAAAACCTTCCTAGAGAGTGGTCCAAAGCATTCAAAGGGAAGGACACAAATCCTAAGAAAGTTGCATGGGAAAAAAAAAAAAAGATGCGGAGTAATTTTTATTTAATATTATATTATATTAAAATATAATATCATCTTCAGTCATTCAAGAATTGTGAGCTAATACACACAATTCACAAAATTAATCTGAATATATGCACTACAGAAAAGATCAGAGTCTATATGCCACAAGGCAAACAGATATACAAAGTAAATATTGATAAACGGGGTACATTTGCACTTTCTCAATTCTATTTACAAAAGTAAGCAAACTAAAATACAATCATGGCATTTTAAAAACAAGACTCCAGGTCTTTCACAACAAATAGTTTGATAGTGTAGAAACCACACTGACCAAAATCCACCAGGATGCCAGGCAGCTTCTCCCCGCTTGTTGATACCATCACATTGGCCACCCTGATGAGAACAGTTTTGGAACAATGCAGAGGATAATTGAGAGAATTAATTGAATTGATGGTATCACTGACCTTACGAAATTTAATGTTACAGCTATCTAATGTGTCTGAACACTTTAATTGCACAAAAAGATTTATGTTTTGATATAAAGAGATTCTGGATCCATTGTGAAATGAGAGAAAATCTTTTTCTTTGAAGAATTTATATTACAAAGCAGTCTTTTACCAAGAGATACAGTACATAAACTCTGAATTTAAAGTTCTACTGTGCGTTTCCTGAACAAAAAATATTGCACTACCATATAATCTGAATTCTGAAAATATTGTCTAAATTTTAAAATTATAGTCTTACATAGATGTTCTCCATAACTTGCTTCCTATTCCCAAAGACTCTGAACAGAGTTACACTTTTTAATTAAGGAAGACAGTTGCAATACTATATGTAGTCTAGAATGTTAATTAATACTTAAGCATAAGAAATCATTAATTGAGCACAGCAGATTTGCCCCTTCCTGAAATCTGCAGGCAGGTACAGCTCCTTGTTCCTCTGGGAAGCATCAGGATGGTGGACTGGGTGACTCTAACCATCCTCCTCCGCACTGCTCAGAGTCCAGCAGGTCACAACAACTGGGGCTTCCAGCACAGTGGACACACCTCTGCCTAAACTCTGTGGGTAGGTGCAGCCCAATCCCAGAAAAGATCTGGATGGCAGATCAGGTGACTCCACCCATCACCACTGCTCATAGCTGGGTGGGACACACTGGCTGGGACTTATAGCACAGTATACCAGCCTGTGCCTGAACTCTGAGGGTGGACACAGCTCCGTATTCCCCCAGGAAGCACCCAGATGGCAGTTTGGGTGACTTCACCCACCCGCACTGCTCCTAGCCACCCCCACAGCTCCAAGACCCACTAGCCTTGCTAGTCAGGTCTCCTAGCACAGCAGCCCCACCTTTGCCTGAATTCTGCAGGCAGGTACAGCTCTGTGTTCCCCCAGGAAATACCAAGATGATGGATCAGGCAACTCCACCCACTGCTGCCCCTAGCTAGGCACTTGTTGCTGGCTTGGGCAGTGCCCAAGCAAGAGTGGGAAGCCCCACTCACAGAACAATGAGAGGGGTGAGACGGCTGGTCTCATGGGCTGGTGGGTGAGTGGGTGTGCCTCCCTCCATTGGGCCAGTTGAGGAAGTGGTCTGCCAGCCACGACCACTGCTGGAGGGAGCTCTGTGGCCCAGAACACCTCATGATGGAAACTCAGGTGGGCACCAGAGATTGGATGGAGGCTCCTCAAAGGTCTGGGAGAGGACCTGGTGACAGGGTTATCTCTCCCCCAACCCCACCACAGAGTACTGCAGATGTGCCAAAATACCAAAGAACCACATGGCAGAGCCTAAGTGCCAGCCACCAATCTTAAGTACCACTTACTGGATCACAGCCCAAATTATAACACCAAAAGTATTTTGCCAGTATACAGCACCTGTGAAACCTAAGGCAAAAATACAACTACAAATAAAGATTCTGTAAAGAGCCTTGGCCCTCCGAAAGCACCCAGAAATGAAGCCAACTGACTATATTCAACATGCCACACAGTTAAAGGAACACCAGCCCTCTCAGATGAGAACAAATCAGCACAAGAACTCTGGCAATTCAAAAAGGCAAAGTGTCACTTTACCTTCAAACAAACAAACTAGTCCCTCAACAACAGTTCTCAATGAGATTGAAATAACTGAAATGACAGACACAGAACTCAGAATCTGGAAGACAAGGAAGCTCATCAAGATCCAGGAGAAAGTTGAAATCCAATCCAAGGAATCCAATAAAATAATCCAGGAGCTGAAAGATGAAATAACCATTTTAAGAAAGAACGAAAGTGAACTTCTGGAATTGAAGAATTCACTTCAAGAATTTTATAATATAGTTGGAAGCATTAAAAGTAGAACACACCAAACTAAGAAAAGAATCTCAGAGCTCAAAGAGCTGTTTTTTGAATCAGCACAGCCAGACAAAAATACAGACCTGCACAATGTGCACATGTACCCTAAAACTTAAAGTATAATAAAAAAAAAGAAAAAAAAATACAGACAAAAAATTTTTTTAATGAATGAAGCCTCCAAGAAACATGAGATTATGTAAAGAGATAAAATTTATGACTCATTGGCATTCCTGACAGAGAAGAGAGAATAAGCAACTCAGAAAACATATTTGGGGATATAGTCCATGAAAATGTCCCCAGTCTTGCTAGAGCAGTGGACATACAAATTCAAGAAATACAGAGAACCCCTATCAGATACTATACAAAACAGTCATCCTCAATGCACATAATTATCAGACTCACCAAGGTCAGTGCAAAAGAAAAAATTCTTAAAAGGAGCTAGAGGAAAGGTCAGGTCACCTACAAAGGGAATCCCATCAGGTTAGTAACAACTCTGAGCAGAAACCTTATGAATCAGAAGAGATTGGGGAGCCTATTTTCAGTGTTCTAAAAGAAAATAAATACCTAGCAAGAATTTCATAGCCCACCAAATGAAGCTTTGCAAGTGAAGGAGAAATAAAATCCTTCCCAGACAGGCAAGCACTAAGGAAACTTATTACCACAAGACCAGCCTTACAATAGGTCCATAAGGGAGTGCCATGGAAATGAAAGATTGTAACTCACAACTACAAAAACATACTCAAGCACTTACACCACAGACAATATAAATCAATGACACAATCAAGCCTACAAAACAACTAGTTAACAAGAAAATGACAGTATCAAAATCTCACGTATCAGTATAACGCTGAATGTAAATAGTCTAAACGCCCCCCTTAAAAAGAATATAGTAGAAAGCTGGATTAAAAGACAAGAATTGACTGTTATCTTTAAGAGATGCATCTCACATCTAATGACATCCAAAGGCTCAAAGTAAAGGGATGGAGAAAAATCTATGTTGTAAACAGGAATAAAAGAAGTAGAAGTCATTATTCTTATATCAGAAAAAACAGACTTTATGCCAACAACAATCAGAAAGGACAAAGAATGCCATTACATAATGATAAAGGGTTCGATTCAATAAGAAGACTTAACTATCCTAAGGCCAAGGCATGCGGATCATGAGGTCAAGAGATTGAGATCATCCTGGCCAACATGGTGAAACCCTGTCTCTACTAAAAATACAAAAAATTAGCTGGGCATGGTGGCATGCGCCTGTCATCCCAGCTACTTAAGCAGGCTGAGGCAGGAGAATTACTTGAACCTGGGAGGCAGAGGTTGCAGTAAGCCAAGATCACGCCACCACACTCCAGCCTAGTGAGACAGAGCAAGAGGCCCTCTAAAAAAAAAAAAAAAAAAAAAAGGAAGACGTAACTATCCTAAATATATATGCACCCAACACTGGAACACTCAGATTCATAAAACAAGTTCTCCAACACTTCACTGACAGCATTAGACTGATCATCAAGGCAGAAAACTCACAAAGAAATTCTGGAATTAAATTCAACACTTGATCAGTTAGATCTAATAAACACCCACAGAACACCCCACCCAACAATCACAGAATATACATTCTTCTCATCCATACATGCAATATATTCTAATATTAACCACATGCTTAGCCAGAAGCAAGTCTCAATAAATTCAAAAAAATCAAAATCATACCAAGTATACTCTCAGAGCACAGTGCAATAAAAATATAAATCAATACCAAGAAGATCTCTCAAAACTACATGAAACCATAGAAATTAAACAACATGCTCCTGAATAACTCTTGAGGGAAATAATGAAATTAAGGCAAAAATAAAACAATTCTTCGAAATTAATGAAAACAGAGACACAACTCACCAAAATCTTTGGGACATAGCTAAAGCAGTGTTGAGAGGAAAGTTCACAGCACTAAATGCTTTCATCAAGAGTTTAGAAAGATCTCAAATTAACAATCTAACATCACACCTAGAGGACTGAAACCAAAAAAAAGTAAGAAAGAAAGAAAGAAAGAAAGAAAGAAAGAAAGAAAGAAAGAAAGATCCAACTCTAAAGCTAGCAGGAGTAAAGAAATAATGAAAATCAGAGAACTGAATAAAATTTCCAGGCATGGTGGCTCATAACTATAATCCCAGCATTTGGGGGAGGGCAAGGCAGGTGGATTCCTCGAGCCCATGAGTTCAAGACCAGCCTGGGCAACAAAGTGAGACCCCCATCTTTATAAAAACTCAAAACAAAACAAAAAAAGCTGGGTATGGTGGTGCATGCCAGCAGTCCCAGTTACGTGGGAGGCTGAGACAGGAGGATCTCTTGAGCTTTGAAGGTCGAGGTTGTAGTGCGTGAGCCATGATCACAATATTGCACTCCAGCCTGGGCAACATAACAAGACTTTTTCAAAAAATAAAAAAAAAAAAAAACTGAACAAAATTGAGATGCAGAAGTTCATACAAAAGATCAATAAAACCAGCATTTGGTTCTGCAAAATAATAAACAAGATTGATAAACTACTAGCTAGATTTTAAGAAAGAAAAATAGAAGATCCAAATAAGTCAAATAAGTTTAATCAGAAATAAAAAAGATGACTACAACTGATCCCACAGAAATACAGAAGATCCTCAGTCTATTATGAATACCTCCATGCAAACAAATTAGAAAATCTAGAGTATGTGGATAAATTCCCAAAAAACACAACCTCCCAAAATTGAACAGAAAAAAGTGAAAACATGAGCATATCACTAAGAAGTTTCAAAATTGAATCATTAATGCAAAAAAAAAAAAAAACCCTACCAGCCAAAAAAATAGCTGGACCAGAAGGATTCAGAGCCAAATTCTACCAGACATACAAAGAACTGATATCAATCTTACCAAAACTCTTCCAAAAAAATTGAGGAAGAGGGGCTCCTTCTTAACTCATTCTGTGAAGGCAGCACCATCTTGATACCAAAATCTGGCAGAGACACAATGAAAAAAGTAAACTTCAGGCCAATATCACTGATAAACATAGACTCAAAAATCCTCCACAAAATACTAGGAAACTGAATCCAGCAACACCTCAAAAATTTAACTCACCACAATCAAGTAGGCTTTATTCCTGGGATGCAAGATTAGTTCAACATATGCAAATCAATAAATGTAATTTACCACATAAACAGAATCAAAAACAAAAACCATATGATCATCTCAATAGACACAAAGAGAGATTTCAATAAAATTCAACATTCCTTCATAATAAAAGCCCTCAACAGGCTAGGCATAAAAGGAACATACCTCAAAATAGTAAGAGCCATCTATGACAAACCCACAGCCAACATCATACTGAATGGACAAAAACTGGAACTATTTCCCTGGAGAACTAGAACAAGACAAGGATGCCCACTCTTACCACTCCTAGTCAACATAGTACTGAAAGTCCTCACCTGAGTGATAAGGCAAGAAAAAGAAATAGAGGCCATCCAAATAAGAAAAGAAGCAATCAAACTATTGCTCTTTGCAGATAATATGATTCTATATATAGCAAACCCTTAAGACTGCCAAAAAGTCTCCTGGGACTTCTCTAGCTGACAGCCAAATCAAGAACACAATCCCATTTACAATAACTACACACACAAAAATTAAGTACTTAAGAATACATCTAATCAAAGAGGTAAAAGATCTCTGCAAGGAGAACTACAGACCACAGCTGAAAGAAATCAGAGATGACACAAACAAATGAAAAGACAGTCTATGCTTATGGATTGGAAGAGTTAATATCCTTAAAATGGCCATACTGCCCAAAGCAATTTATAGACTCAATGCTATCTCTATCAAAACACCAATGTCATGTTTCACAGAATTGGAAAAATTTATCCTAAAATTCATGTGGAACCAAAAAATATCTTGAATAGCCAGAGCAATCCTAAGCAAAAAGAACACAGCTGGAAGGATCAAATACCCAACTTCAAACTACACTATACAGCTACAGAAAACAAAACAGCATGGTACAGATACAAAAATAGACATATAAACCAACAGAACAGAATAGACAACCCAGAAACAAACCCATACACCTACAACCATCTGATCTTTGACAAAATTGACAAAGATGAACAATGAGAAAAGGACTCCCTATTCAATAAATGGTGCTGGGATAGCTGGCTACCCATATGCAGAAGAATGAAACTGGACCCCTACTTATCACCATACACAAAAATTAAGTCAAGATGGATCAAAGACGTAAATGTAATACCTCAAACTATAAAAATCCTAGAAGAAAGCCTAGGAAATACCTTCCACATCAGCTTTGGCAAATAATTTATGGCTAGGTCCCCAAAAGCAATTGCAACAAAAACAAAAATTAACAAGTGGGACCTAATAAAACTAAAGAGTTTCTGTACACCAAAAGAAATTATCAAAAAAGTAAACAGACAACCTACAGAATGGGGGAAAATATTCACAAACTGTGTATCTGACAAAGGTCAAATATCGAGAGTGTAAAGGAACTTAAATCAACAAGCAAAAAGCAAATAATCCAATTTGAAAATGGGCCATGGACATGAACAGACACTACTCAAAAGAAGACATACAAGGGGCCAACAAAGAAATGAAAAAAAAAAAGTTTATCATAATTAACCATCAAAGAAAAGCAAATCAAAACCAAAGTGAGATACCACCTCACAACAGGCAGAATGGCTACCATTAAAAAGTCAGTTTCTCAACTGCTTTCCGAAGAACTTAAAATAGAGGAGATAGGAGATTTCTCAAAGAACTTAAAATATAACTACCATTCAACCCAGCAATCCCATTACTGGACATATACCCAAAAGAAAATAATTCATTCTACTATAAAGTCACATGCACTTGTATGTTCATTACAGCACTATTCACAATAGCAAACACATGAAATCAACATTTGTGCCCATCAACAGTGGATTGGATAAATAAAATGTGGTACATATGCACCATGGAATAACATACAGCCAGACAAAGAACAAAATTATATCCTTTGCAGCAACATGGATACAGCTGGAGGTTATTATCCTAAGTGAATTAAACAGAACATAAAACCAAATATTGCATATTCTCACTTATAAAAGGGAGCTAAACATTGAATACACATAGACATAAAGAACTAGAGACACTGAGGACTACTAGATGCAGGAGGAAGGGAGGTGGCCATAGGCCAAATACAACCTATTGGGTACTATGCTCACCACCTGGGTGACAGGACCATCTGTATGCCAAACCTCAGTATCAAGCAATATACCCTTGTAACAACGTTGCCCATGCATCCCCCCGGGTTGAAAATAAAAATAAATAAAATTTTAAAATAAAGTTGTGGATTCTATAAAAGAAAGAAAAAGAAAAGGAAAAAGAGGAAGGAAAAAGAGGAAGGAAGGAAGGAAGGAAGGAAGGAAGGAAGGAAGGAAAAGAGAGAGCAAAAGGGAGGGAGGAAGGAAGGAAGGAAATGCTTTAAAAAATCATGAATTTTTAGGGACATGATATTTTCTTTCACATTCCTGAGTGGTCAAATTGAAGTATTTTTGCCCTTTGAGGAGAGGATTCAGTGGACTCAGAAATAAACTTATGTCTATAGTTTTCATATATAAAAATAAATCTTTTCGTGGCCAGGAAAAAATTAATACGAACGTGGCATTTGGAAGCTTTAATATGAATGTGACCACTGCTTGGGCAATCTCATCTTTAAGCTACAAAATGTCCCATATTTCATCATTAAGTCTTCTTTAATCACATAATTCAAAAATTGTTGGGTGATAGCTATGTGAAAGGAATATGTATAAGAGTTTCTTTTTATTTGTAAGAAAGATGTGGAGAGTTAGCCTGGTGTCAAAAATGTTCTTCACGTAACTTCAAAATGACATTTTCCCTCTGATCTTAGTTGGTGTGACAAAAATTACAAACAAAAATAATCCTGCAACATTCTTTTCCTTTTATCATCCCTTTGAATATTTCCAAAAATATTTGGCAAAGCCTGAGATATCTTCCAGATTTTCATGTACTCATTGATACCCATCCTTAAAAACCTGAGTCAGGTTTTTAAGATGATATTTTTACAAGAAAAAGGAGTCCTATCACATTCTAACTTAACTGGTTTTAGGACTTGAATTCTGACCTTGTAGAGGATTTCACATTTTATTTGAGATCAAATACATTTTTATTTTAATATTGCATCAGGACCCGCACTGCATAGACGGAAACCTATGATTTCATTGGATCCATGCATATTAAGCAGTAGAAACGAGGTCAAAAATGGAAAAAACAAATTAAGTGGGTCTTTAGGATAAAGAAGGGCAATGTGGTAAAATAGAATGGAAGGACTCTGGTTTCATCCTTCCATACCTGTTTGACCTCGGACTGAGGTTTGATTTACTCATTAATAAAACAGAATGTGGCCGGGCGCGGTGGCTCACGCCTGTAATCCCAACACTTTAGGAGGCTGAGGCGGGCAGATCACGAGGTCAGGAGATCGAGCCCATCCTGGCTAACACGGTGAAACCCCGTCTCTACTAAAAGTACAAAAAATTAGCCAGGCGTGTTGGCGGGCGCCTGTAGTCCCAGCTACTCAGGAGGCTGAGGCAGGAGAATGGCACGAACCCAGGAGGCGGAGCTTGCCGTGAGCCGAGATCATGCCACCGCACTCCAGCCTGGGAGACAGAGCGAGACTCTGTCTCAAAATAAATAAATAAATAAATAAATAAATAAATAAGAATGTTGTAGGTTTTTTTGTTGTCATTCATAATTTTCTGTTTTTTTTATTTTTGAGATGGAGTCTCACTTTGTCACCCATGCTGGGGTGCAGTGGCATGATCACAGTTCTCTGGAACCTCCACCTCCTGGATTCAAGCGATTCTCATGCCTCAGCCTCCCAAGTAGCTGGGATTACAGGTGCACACCACCATGCCTGGATAATTTTTGTACTTTTACTAGAGATGGGTTTCACCATGTTAGCCAGTCTAGTCTCAAACTCCTGACCTCGTGATCCACCCACCTGGGCCTCCCAAAGTGCTGGGATTACAGGCATGAGCCACCATGCCTGGCCCATAATTTTCTGTTTTAAACAAGAAATATATATATACCTATCCCTTAGTTACAATCTGAAAACTTGAAAATCTCTGAAAGCCAAAAGGGATTTTTTGTATTTCACTGATGCAGAACAGAACTGAACTGAAGTTAATATGCATACCTATCTTAGTTCATGTTATGTTGCTACAGCAGAATATCACAAACTGGGTGATTTATAAAGAACGGAAATTCTTACAGTTCTGGAGGCTGGGAAGCCCAAAGTCAAAGGGCATGCATATACTGTGGGCCTTTTTGCTCTGTTATCCTATGGCATGGCAAGAGGTGGAAGGGCAAGAGAGTAGTATGAGAACAAGAGGAAGAGGGCCTAACTCATCCTTTTATTAGGATAGCACGCCAGTGATAACAGTATTAATCTATTCATGAGAGCACAGACCTCATGACATAATCACCTCTTCAAGTTCCCAGCTCTCAAAACTTTTGCATTAGAGGTTAAGTTTCCAACACATGAACTTTGGGGGACACGTTCAAACGATAACAATACATTTTATCACAGAAATAGTAATGTAATAATTCAAGATCTTGCCCACGTCACTAAAAGTGTTACCATAAATATGTACCATATTCAATTTCTAAAATTAAAAAAAAATGTGAATTCAAAACACATCTGGCCTCAAAGGCTTTCGATGTAAGGATTGTGGGCCCATACAGCTCTTAACAAAGCCTTCTTCTTTCCCTTTCCCATTTAAAAAGTTAAAATAATGCATCTTGAGTTGATTTTTATATAGGTGTAAGAAAGGATTCCAGCTTCAGTCTTCTGTGTATGGCTAGCCAATTATCCCAGCACCATTTACTGAATAGGGAGTATTTTTCCCATTGCTTGGTTTTGTCAGCTTTGTCAAAGATTAGGTGGCCGTAGGTGTGTGGCCTTATTTCTGTGCTCTCTATTCTGTTGCATTAATCTATGTGGCTGTTTCTGCACCAGTAGCCTACTATTTTGGTTACTGTAACCCTACAGTATAGTTTGAAGTCAGGTAATGTGATGCCTCCAGCTTTGTTCTTTTTGCTTAGGATTGCCTTGGCTATTTGGGCTCTTTTTTGGTTCTGTATGAATTCTAAAATACTTTTATTTCTAGTTCTGTGAAGAATGTCATTTCTTCACAGGTTTGATAGGAATAGCACTGAATCTGTAAATTGCTTTGGGCAGTATGGCCATTTTAACAATATTGTGAAGAATGTCATTGGTAGTTTGATAAGAATAGCACTGAATATGTAAGTGGCTTTGGACAGTATGGCCATTTTAACAGTATTGATTCTTCTTATTCATGAGCATGGAATGTTTTTCCATGTGTTTGTGTCTTCTCTGACTTCTTTGAGCAGTATTTTGTAATTCTCATTGTAGAGATCTTTCACCTCCCTGGTTAGCTGTATTCCTAGATATTTTATTCCTTTTGTGGATATTCTGAATGGGATTGCCTTTTTGATTTGGTTCTTGGCTTGCTGTTATTGGTGTATAGGAATGCTGGTGATTTTTGTACATTGATTTTTTATCCTGAAACTTTGCTGTAGTTGTTTATCAGCTGAAAGAGTTTTGGGGCCAAGATTATAGGGTTTTCTAAATATATAATCATGTCATCTGCAGAGATAGTTTGACTTTCTTCCTATTTGGATGCCCTTTATTTCTTTTTCTTGCCTGATTGCTCAGGCTGGGACTTCCAATACTATGTTGAGCAGGAGTGGTGAGACAGGGCATAGTTGTCTTGTGCTGGGTTTCAAGGGAAATGCATTCAGCTTTTGCCCATTCAGTATAATGTTGGCTGCGGGTTTCTCACAGATGGCTCTTATTATTTTGAGCCATGTTCCTTCAATACCTAGTTTGTTGAGAGTTTTTAACATGAAGGGGTGTTGAATTTTATCAAAAGCCTTTTCTGTGTCTACTGAGAAAATCATGTGGTTTTTGTCTTTAGTTCTGTTTATGTGATGGATTATGTAAAACCCCAAATTATAAAAACTCTGGAAGACAACCTAGGCAATACTATCCTGCACACAGGAACAAGCAAAGATTTCATGACAAAGACACCAAAAGCAGTCACAACAAAAGCAAAAATTGACAAGTGGGATCTAACTAAACATAAGAGCTTCTGCACAGCAAAAGAAACTATCAACAGAGTAAACAGACAACCTAGAGAATGGGAGAAAATACTTGCAATCTATGCATCTGACAAAGGCCTAATACCCAGCATCTATAAGGAACGTCAATTTACCAGAGCAAAACAAACAACCCAATTAAAAAGTGGGTAAACAGCTGGGTGCAATGGCTCACACCTGTAATCCCAACTCTTTACAAGTTCAAGGCAAGCGGATCAACCACATACATAAAATTTTTTAATGTGTTGACAATGTTGCATTTTGATGCTCCCATCTCTATTTCCAAGTTTCAAATAACTTTAAAGTGTGCAGTGTTATAGGTCAGAATATGACAAAGGCATGCAATGTGTTTGTATTATATTCTATTATATGTTAAATACTATATTATACGTTATTATATTTATTATATGTTTGAGGTTCTCATGTCAAAGCCTGGATGTTTAGGACAATAAAGAGTTGCTTTGTGCTTGGGGGAAAAAAGCAAGAAAATTAAAATAATTCAGCAAAATCAAGGAAGTGGTTAGAATGACTTAACTTCATTTAGGTCACCTGTTAAATTCTTCACTTCAATGGGTTTTTAAATAATTTGTTATAAAGATAGGACGTAGCAAAGTTGCTCACAAAAGTGTATTTTAGGAGTCCTGGAATTCAAAATAGTCTAAATAAATTGTCAGGCAATATGTTCAAGAAATTACAAGATACTAAAAGAGTAAAGCTGGCAAGTCATTAGAACACATTGATATTGTCTGGAAAGAAGAGAGGGCACGCCTCATCAAAAACTACCTCACCTTGAACCTGATTACAATACAATTTGTATTTATTCACTTAAAGTCCTCATCAACAAAACAGATCTACAAGCACTGATAGTGAATCAGGGTCCTATTAAGGATGAATGAATATTTTTTAAAGAATGGTGGATTAATGGCAGTAATGTCCCTTTCTGTCAAGTCCTGAATGGGCTTTACCAGACTAAACAATACCTGTTTTTTACCTAATAAGGATAATACTGCTTGGCTTAGGACAAAACACAAAACAACGAGGAAGGGTTTAGACACTTGCAATCCCCAAGGTCTTGTAACAAAGGGCAGGGATTGCATCTCCTGGGTCCTGGCCTCATTCTTACATCAATGATTATGTTCTACCTCTCTAAATCCCTTCAGTGCACCATTTCATTTCTTATTCTCAACTGTTGTGTAATGAGCACCTGCCAAGTTTCTGTTAAATTTTTCTTAAATTTTCAGGCAGTTTCCAAGGTATCTCCCTTTTGTGATAAAAACTCTGCAATGTATTTCAGTGTATTTCAGGTGAGGAATTTAAAATCCCACTCATAATTGTTTGAAATCTTCCCTCATTCAAGCTGTCAGAGCTTGACAGCCCTGGTTCTGTTGTTATGCACTATTAAATGGGAGCTGCTCTCCAGCCTAGGGGTACCTCTCTGTTTCAGTGGTGGGGAAATGGGTGAAGCTTATTGGGGATCCTTGGGGAAGGCAATGCCATATAAATGGGAGTTTCAGCAGAAGGAATGAAAATAATAAGTCCCTTTCTGAAAGCTCAGACCTACAAAATTTTTAATGTGTTGACAATGTTGCATTTTGATGCTCCCATTTCTATTTCCGAGTTTCAAAATAACTTTAAAGTGTGCAATTTTATAGGTCAGACTATGAGAAAGGCACACAATGTGTTTGTATTTTAAATTTGGAGTTTTCTTTAAAAGCCATAGAACAGTAAATGTTTTGAAGATACTATTTTCTGCATTCAAGTGAAGGTGAAGAGAAGGGGAAAAGATGTGATGATTTTTCCATCTGATTTCTATTTCCGATAAATACCCTAATGACTTCTGCTGCAAAATGCAGAGGTCGTTAGAAAGCAGTGTTACTAATCTAGATGGAAACAAATTTCAGTCTGGGGCAGTAATACATCTTATAGCTCATAAACACATTGAGCCCAATTATCTTAATATGTTTTACATGATAAGAGCAATTACAAAATATCTGGAAGAGTTGATGTGCTGAGGGTAATTATTTTAATTTATTCACACTTAGACACTGAGGTAGGATATGAGATATACTTCCATCAGGACTTCTTTCTTCTGGAGACATTCATTGATTTGTTCATTCACTCATTCAATAAATACATCATTCACATTTTTCAGATATTGTGCTAAAGACAGGTAGCACGAAACACATGACAAAAAAGTAAATGTAAACTACCCTAAAGAGCTAGCACTGCAGTACAAAAGATGAAGCAGGTATATAAATAAAGCTAACATAGTACAAAGTGAACAAGTACTATAAGAGGTGTACAAACAACGCCTCTTAGAAAAGGCCATTGAGGCTGGGCGCGGTGGCTAATGCCTGTAATCCCAGCACTTTGGGAGGCCAAGGTGGGCAGATCACCTGAAGTCAGGAGTTCATGACCAGCCTGGCCAACATGGTGAAACCCCAGTGCTACTGAAAATACAAAAATTAACCAGGTGCGGTGGTAGGCACCTGTAATCCCAGCTACTTGGGAGGCTGAGGCAGGATAATTGCTTGAACCTGGAAGGTGGAGGTTGCAGAGAGCTGAGATTGCACCACTGCACTCCAAACTGGGCAGCAGAGCAAGACTCCATCAAAAAAAAAAAAAAAAAGAGAAAGGAAAGAAAGAGAGAGAGAGAAAGCAGAAGGAAGGAAGGAAGGAAAAGCAAAAGCAAAAGCAAAGGCCATTGATGTGAAATGAGCATTTCCAGCAAAGGATGGCTTTTGGGAGAGATTAAATTTGAGTTGGACATTAACACAGAATTTAGGTAGCAGGGGCTGGGGGAAAGCAGACAAACTTGAAAGGAAGAAAACTATCCAGGGCCAGGTGGACGGGGGCTCACACGTGTAATCCCAGCACTTTCAGAGGCTGAGGCAGGCAGATTGCTTGAGCTCAGGAATTCAAGACCAGCCTGGGCAACATGGTGAAACCCCATCTCTAAAAACCATACAAAAATTCACCAGGCATAGTGGCGAGCGCCTGTGTTCCCAGCTACTCAGGAGGCTGAGGTGGGAGGATTGCTGGAACCCAGGAGGTTGAGGCTACAGTGAGCCAAGATTGTGCCACTGAGCAACACAGCAAGACCCTATCTCAAAAAAGGAAGAAAGAAAGAAAGAAAGAAAGAAAGAAAGAAAGAAAGAAAGAAAGAAAGAAAGAAAGAAAGAGAAAGAGGAAGGAAGGAAGGAGGGAGGGAGGGAGGGAGGGAGGAAGGAAGGAGGGAGGGAGGGAGGGAGGGAGAGAGAGAGAAAGAAAACTATCAAGGCTGAGGTATGGTGTGCACCCAGACAAGAAGATCAGGAAGCACAATGTACACATAGGGAGCAACAGACAATGTAGTCAGACCAAATGCAGAGAATACAAAGGTCAGGAGAGAGAAATCAAGCTGGAAAGGCTGGCAGGTACCCAGGTCATGAGGGAGGCTTAGCGAAGAAAACACAAAGATAAGAACTTTGGACTTTACTACTAAGCACTGGGGAGCCATTAAAAGTTTTTGAGACTAAAATGACATGAGGATATTAAACAGATTAATCAGTAAGAAGCATGATGGATAGACTGGAAAGGTCAAATAACTGAGCTAAGAGAACAAACTAGGCAGCCCCTGCCCTGGGTGAGGTGAGCACTAATTCAGGAAGAAGTTAACGTAGTGGCAAAAGGAGTGGATGGTGCCAGGGGTTTGGGAGTCTGAGGAGATCTGAGAATGTTGATAGGCTGGGCTGAGAGGAAGAGCCCAGTGAGAGAGAGATGATGGAGACACAAAGAATGTGTAGAAAAATGGTGGAGTAATGTCCAAACGGAGGTGGCAGCAAGGCGCAATTGGAGCAGGCTGGATTTCACAAGTAGGGATGGAGTAGGGATGGTGGTAGTCAACTAAGAATAAGGAGGCTTGGGGGCAATCAGTGATTTTATAAAGAAAGAAAAATGTCTACACCAACCAATGCAGGGGACAGGTTAGAAAAGAGTCTAGGAGGCGAGTGTGCACATTATCAGACAAAAAAGCACACTTCACTCATACTGGTAGTGCATGAAGTGGTGCTCAAAATTAAAACAGGCAACACCGCCAAATAAGGCCATGGTAGATTCGAATTTCCAACACAACACTTTGTGGAATAAATATACAGAGCTACACCTAAAGCAGCAACACCCTGAGAGTCACACAATTAGAAAACTATGTGATGGTTTGGTCTAAATGAAGTGAAACTGTTTTATGTGACCTTTCTCTATTAATTTAGCTAAGTTGATGTAGGTTAGGTTCTGTTTTGTTTTTATATTATGTATAGACGAACCTCTTATTTCACTATTAAGTAATATGTATTAAGTGACTCTGGCACAAGATACAAATTTTCTTCCCACATAAATCTCCTGTTCACAAAACAAGTATCAGAGGTAAATAAGCAAAGAAAATGGCCAGGGAACAGCAGTGGATGATGGGTCCAGGACATGTTCTTTTGAGACCAGGTGCAAGGAGAGGCGCTGAAGGAAATGCCTGCCTCCTCACCCCATACCACTCTTCAGAGAGGTGACGATTGTTCTCCAGCCCCAGGGGAGTAGGTTCATCAAATTTAAGCCCTCTCTGTCAGTAATGAAAAGAGCTGGCACTTCATTTTTTCTCCAATTTTGCTAACTACGGGTTCTCCCTCAAAGTACAGGACCACCACATTAGAGGCAGAAGGAAAGGGCTTAGCTCTCCACTGCACATTTTCTGAGAGATGGGAATGAATGTGTTTCAGGAAGACAGAAATTATTCATATGGAATACTGATCTTAAAAGAGAGGATATAATGGCTATGTGTTTGTTTACTAAGAATACACCTAAAGTATATTATATAATAAGTTGCACTTTACTTTTGTGGAGTGCAGATTTTTTTTAAATGTTGCTACTATACAAATAGTTATCAATCATAAGATTTTTCTCCCGGCCAGGCGCGGGGGCTTACGCCTGCAATCCCAGCACTTTGGGAGGCCGAGGCGGGAAGGTCATAAGGTCAGGAGTTCGAGACCCACATGGCCAATATGGTGAGACCCTGTCTCTACTAAAAAAACAAAAATTACCCCGGCGTTGTGGTGGGTGCCTGTAGTCTCAGCTACTCGGGAGGCTGAGGCAGGAGAATCGCTTGCACCCAAGAGGCAGAGGTCGTAGTGAGCCAAGATTGTGCCACTGCACTCCAACCTGGGGCACCAAGCGAGACTCCATCTCAATAAAACAAAAAATAAACAAACAAAAAATTTCTCCCATACCTCTATACCTCTCCTCTTTCCAGTCCTTGCCATCTCCAGCACATATATAGTCACTTGAATTCAAAGTATAGGTCAACACGTGGTACTA
Organism: Homo sapiens; assembly: GCF_000001405.40. Taxonomy (NCBI): domain Eukaryota; kingdom Metazoa; phylum Chordata; class Mammalia; order Primates; family Hominidae; genus Homo; species Homo sapiens. Next base: position 37,760,568 of record NC_000015.10, read on the forward strand.
TAAAATAAAGCTTTACACTTCTCAGTGTTTGCTCTTATAAAATAAATTTTTAAAATTATATAATTACAGTCTAGATACATGGATCCTTCTACACAGGATACATGACAAATAAGAACATTTTCCAGACAAAGAAGTCCACTGAGATGTAGGCATTAATTTAATAAAATGGGCGTGAGTCAGTGTTGCCTTGGGAAAACAGATGTTAGAGATGCTGGTACCCTGTGCTAGAATGTTTCCTCCCCACCAACTTTTTCTCCTATTTTAAGATGCCAATAAACACCACACACAGAGGTGCTTATTGGTGTCTTGAAATAAGATAAAAAGCAGGTTAGCACTAAGCACTGGGAACAAAGAAACATGAGAAAAGTAAGCTGAGTCATACTTAAAAAAGAGATTAAGTGGAAAAGCCCCTGATTTCAAGAAACCCTTCTGTATCTCTGGGCAGTAAAGGATTAATTCAGCAGGCCTGGGCTGCTCAAACCCTACACATTTCCGAGGTCTTCAAGACTGACCCTTGGTCCAACTCCTGGAGATGACTTTTTAGCCTTGAAGTATCCTATTTTTTTCTTTTTTTCACGATGGAGTCTCGCTCTGTTGTCTAGGCTAGAGTGCAGTAGTGCAATCTCGGCTCACTGCAACCTCCACCTCCTGGGTTCTAGCGATTCCCCTGCTTGAGCCCCCCGAATAGCTAGGATTACAGGTGTGTGTCACCACGCCCAGCTAATTTTTGCATTTTTAGTGGAGACAGGGGTTTCATCATATTGGCCAGGCTGGTCTCGAACTCCTGAATGGTAGTGATCTGCTCACCTTGGCCTCCAATAGTGCTGGGATTACATAAGTGAGCCACCAAGCTCAATCTGGAGTATGCTACTTAATAAGAGTGTCTTGCATGTACCTGAAGCTTTGGTCCATACCAAATAGTGCATGCTAACAATAGTGCATGCTAACAATGTGATTTATGGTGAACACTTGTTTTTGTGTGCCTGGGCTTTGGGCCACACTGTATCAGCTGGACCTCTTGATCAGCAATTGTTGCAACCAATTTTTCTGACTTTGCAAAAGAGAGCCCACCCAAAGTACACAGGTTAAATCAAGTGGAGAATAAACCTGAATTACTTTGAATATTCAGCACAGTGTGTGAGCAAAGTTACTCTAATAATTCTTTTTCTAATATTACTATCATCTTTATGGAAACTCATGGAACTGTTTCATATTTAATACAGGCTTTAGGTAAAAATTGGTTAATTAAAATTAAAAAGCAATGTCCCTGTTTTGTGTTAGAAGAATAAACCAAAAGCTTAGTAATCCTCTCCAGATTCTATTCTATAGAATTATTATTATTTCTCCATTACTTCACCTGGTGAACTTCTGGTTACTCTTTAAGACCTAGGCTGAAAGTCACCCACTCCCGTCGCACTATGTGGTCTTTTACAACTCTTACAAAATATGCTTCTCTCAGTGCTCCCAAAATCTCTTTACATGTTTTCTAAACACAGGTCACATTGCATGCACAACGTGTTTTGTTTTCACGTCTCTCTAATTTACAGGATTGTGAGTTCCTCATGGTAAGGGCAGCAATCATTTGATGTTTCTGGTCTGCAAGACCTCTCTCATGTCCTGCTATATAGGAGGCACTCACTTAACATTAAATACCTAAGTAAGATAAAGAATGCATGGATAAACAAAATAAATAGATACACTAATCTTGAACTCTTACAAATAACTAGGTAAGAGAGATTATACATCATTCTATTTGCACGGTTTTGAAAAAAATTCTTCCTCCTAAGAGATCATGATGGGCAGAGTGCTGGAACAAATTTTATCTATGAAAGAGTTGATGTTTTCCAGGCAGAGGAGTTGTGATAATGAGGATTAAGGCATACAGCCTATTGCCTGGGAGTAGAAAGAGTAATATTAAATACTAGGGTTAGCTATTATTTATAAAGTTATGGTAATCTTTCTTGAAGATATCTGGATTTCTGAATTAGGTTCTTACACCTGTAACAACAAAAACAGTAACATGTCTTCAAAAAATCAAAATCAACTTATATCTAGTTTTAATTCCTAGTAAAATTGGCAGGAAGATGGTAGGTGAAGTCTGCAATCATACTCACGGCAAGAGTCAACTTCAAAATATTTGGGGCCTAGTCTACTAACCACCAGAGAGGCCTTTACTTCCTGAAGTGGTCTTTCTAGAAGGGCTGTTTCAGGAAGGTAGTCTCTCCTTTCAACCAATATTTATGAAGCATCTACCATGTGAGAGTCTTTGTGCTAGGCTCTGTGAGAGCTATAGAGAGGTGAATAAGCCACGGTTATTGCCCTCAAGGAATTTTCAATAAAAACTTGTCTTCAGACGCCAAAAAGCAAGGGGTACTATCACTACACAAAGAAATAAGATAGTTTGGAGTAGAGAATCACATACCAACTCTTGGTACAGTTATAAAAGGCATGTTCAAAAGTGATTTGTTTGTGAAAATCTCATTTCCATTTGAGTTTCTGTTTTGAGCATTAGGAGGTACAGATCATTAGAGCAAACCATGTGCAGAAGTCACCTAGCCCCTAGTTTCAAATCCCCCATGACTATCAGATGATAGAGGAAGGTTAAAAGAAAAAACGAAAGATAAAATTTTGTCATCTATAATCTAGGTGAACTCATCTCTGAATCGTACTGGGATCTTAAAAGAAGAATATCACAGAAGGGAAAGAAAACGGAGGGGCGCTGGCAATGGCTAAGAAAACTAACCAAGCTATAGAACTGTCCCCAGAAAGGCATGGTCAGTATCTGAAGGGCATCATTTGTCCCCCTGAAGAAGTAAACTTTCCTCCACAAAATGTAAGATCCAAACTAGTAGTGGTAATCTCCTAGCAATGTTCCTATCCCATTTACAGTTGGGACTGTAGCCGAAGTGAACAGCATCCAACCACTACCGGAAAGAGATATGTGATCGTAATAACACCAGAAATTTAATAAGCATTTACCATGTGCCAAGAAGTGTACTACACACTTAATCTCCAAGACCACACACAAAAAAGTATATTTTATAGGTGATAAAACAGACGTTTAGAAGTTCATTATCTTACCCAAGGTCATACGACTAGGAAGTAGCACCAACTTCTTTGATTCTAGAAACTGTACTTCTGAAGCTCAATAACTAGGTTGAGGATCAGAAACTCAGCCCAATGGGCTGAACTCCAAGGCCAGGACTCTACTTCTGACATTTGTAAGGCAGAAGCCTGGTCACAATGGCAAGTATGGAAAAAGAGAAAAACTTGTAATTCACTGGCCACAAATACCTAGGACCTATAAATTTAGGGAAACAAAACCAATTTTAATTCCCCATTAGTGAGATAAATCTCAATGAAAACAAACAAACAAAAAAAGGAAGTGAAATTAAATACAGCATACAATATTTGAGAAATACCTAATATGAAGAATATTTTCCTTCAGTTGTTTTAATAGTGAGTGTGTGAGCAAAGTTACTTTAATAATTCTTTTTCTAATATAACTATCATCTTTATGGAATCTCAGTGAACTGCTCCATATGTAATATAGGCTTTAGGTGAAAATTAATTAAAATTAAAAGGCAAAGTCCCTGTTTGTGTTAAAAGGTCAAACCAGAAGCTTGGTAATCCTCTCCATATTCTATTCTATAGAATTATTATTTCTCCATTACTTCACTTTGTACTTGGATAAATTATATTACTTGGATACAATACATTACTTGGATACAGAATATTGGAGATACATATATACTATATATATAATAGTATATTACTAGGATAAAGTGTATATTACTCCTTTATACTTGGATATATTAATAAATATGGTCCTGTATCTTCTCTCTTAAATGTCTTTAAAAATGGGATTTTAATGTAGGATGGCTTAAGAGAACCAATATAGAAAGAGATAACAGATTCTGGGGCCAATTAAGGTATGAAATCCTAGAAAACAGGTGTCTTATCGACTTGATGAGACATCAGAAGATAAACTGTACACAGACTCTGGAAAATTACTAGCTTTCATTGAATACAAGATGCTGCAACAAGTCTTCACAAAGAAATTAATGAAACTGGCTTTGGTTATTATCCTCTTCTGGCAAACTTCTTTTTCTTAGGGGGTTAAAAAGATACACAGAAGGCAGATAAAAGTGTTATATACGTGCAATTTTAGTTCCACTTCATCTTTGACAACAACTGAGCTTCACAAAATGGCTTCTGTTCCCAGCATGCTCTTTCCCCATTTCCCCACTTAAATCTAGGGAGAACACGCTATCATTCTGCCACTAGATGGCACTGCCACAAATTGGGATGGACAGTACTCTGTGGACCCTAAACTTCTAACAATTTAGAGAAAAAGCAATAAAGATTAAATATACAACAAAATGCAATAAACATTAGAGTGATGCAGAGAACAGTGCAACAAACAAACAAAATATACTGAAAGAGTATTGTCCCAATGGGACATAAATCAGGAAAGATCCTACTTTATGACTAGATTCTCTCTCGGATACACTAAGATATAATGTTATTTGTCCAACACATTTTGGCTCCCGATATTTTTCCTTTCAAGCTATTGAAGTTAATATTTAACAAACACATTTTCTGCCAAGTTTTAATGTGATATCATCCTCTGAAGAAACAAAGTCCAGAAATAATTTGTCTTTCTGGCAATATTTATTAGTATTTTGACACAAAACCTGAATTATTATTGAAAGTAAATAGGAAATCAAGGACTCAGATCTCTTGAATTTTTTTAAGGTGCTCTCAAGGTTAACATGTACTCTGTGGCAATGAAGAGGCGGATAAATAAAGGCTATATGGTGTCATATAATCTGTAATATTTCCTATAACTGTGACTATTTTTTAAATAAATTTTTCTAGATGACAAATTTAATTTCCCCTTTGGTTTTGTTTATACGTTGGAGTCTCTGGTGTCAGAGAACTGAACACAAAGCTAAGTACTCCAGGTCTCTCTACTTTTCTTTTGACTCTGAAATTTACAGCTGTGAACTTCCCATAAGATCTTTTTATTTCAAAAGAATTATGTATGTAATGTGTAGTTTAATATAATTATATATAATTGATTATATAATTGAAGATATAACTATATTTATATACTATTATACATTATTATATGTTATATATAATTATGTTGTTAATTATACTTTATTTTATATATGAATATACATATATATCTCCATTAAAAAATGTCTCAACTTGGTAAGGAAAAGAAAAAGGAACTAACTTGAGTCCCATTCAGGAAGTTCCTGAAACGCCTACTAAAACAATGTGAAAGACAGCAAATTCCCGTCTTCTCACAGCTGGCTGTGTTTAAAAGAACCACAGGAAATGAACCAGCTTTCAACCTGTTAGCCACTTTCAACGGGCAAATGGCTGCAAGCCCTTGGGGACCAAGGGATCGATTTAAGATGGCACAGCAAAGCTGAAAACTGGCCCCAGTCCAGCAGTTTCAGCCTTGAATTAATAGGGGTGTGTGTGTGTGTGCGCGCGTGTGTGTGTGTGTATAAAACAGTACATACACGCACACACCCACACACAGCCAATAAATGTTATATGAACTCTGCATGCCTTCTGTTCTAAATTTAAACAGGAAATAAAGTTAGGTCATTGCTACCTTTTGGTCAGGGCAAGGATGACAATCACAAAAATTTTGCAAAACATATTCAAAGAAGGAAACAGGAGGAAGGTGTGATAGGGGTTTGACTGTCTACCAAAACAGTCCAAAAAATAGTTTATAATAAACATCTTAGGCCCACAGAAAGGCTGTGAATGCCAGAGTGAATTTTTCCATCCTCCAGCAATGCCTTTATTGTGATGGTCTGGACTGTAATTAGGGCTTTTCTTGAACAGGTATTGGAGAGACAGTGAACAGGGTCATTTGTGAGCATTTGCTTCTGTTCCGGGGAAAAACGGCCCAGTCAGTCACTGAGAGTTTGACTCCTTAAAGAGCTTTACCATTCCTTCACAGTTGTTTGTTCTGAGACTACAGATAGACCAAGGAAAATCTGAAACCCTCCAGAAGCATTTCTTTCACAACGAGCCACTACACTGAAGCATATAGTATTTGACAGCCTTTTGTGAGTAGCAGAGTCCGTGGATTTTTTTCTCTCCAGCAGTGATATCCTTTCACCTCATTATAAAATATAACCTGTCATAGCTAAATTGAGGAGTTTTTTAACAGGGCTGGAAAACTCATCTTTAATTACTGCATAGGAGAATGCTTCTGAATTATCAACTGTGCAGAAAAAGACTGAAAGGCAATCTGACCACTGCAAGAAACAGACATTCCTTGATAGAGAAGCCATGTTGTTGGGTTTTCAGTTTCTCGGGTGATGGTGCTTTGATAGTGATGGCTTTGAAATTCATATAAGATGAAGAAGAAAAAGAAGCACTTTCATTAGCCTAGTAGTATTGTGTGTACGCTTAACTGTCTATGCACAAATTGGTTTAAGGATTTTATTGGGTTGTTAGTCTTAGATTATAAATATCTAGATGTGAACTCCAGGACATTTTCTAATGGAAGTTTTCTTTATAGCAGCTTAATGTGTTGGTTACTATCCCAAGTTTTGACAGACTTGCTTCCAAAATTCAAGCTCTGCTACTAACTAGCTGATAATCTTGGCAATTACCAACTCTCTAAACTTTGGTTATCTTATCTGCAAAAGGGAGAGTTCATCGTACCTACCTCATATGCCTGTTGAGAATATTAAATGAGATAATGAATGTGAAGTGTTTATCAAAGTGCTCAGAGTGTTATAACCACTCAATAAACAGTAGCTATCATTACTAGAATTGCATTGAATTTTTGATAGTTTTGTCTGAGAATGAAAATTATATTTTCTAAGGTAGACTAAGAATTAAAAAGAAGTGTCCCTTTTTTGCAAGTGGGCATAGGAAACAATTCTTCAGATGTCTGTCTCCCAGTTACAGAAACAGGACAGGAGACAAACCAATAGACCCTTGGACATCGGACACACCAAGTCCTATTTTAAATATGTCCTCTCAAAGCCAATATTTTGATTCTGCAGATTAGTCAATTACTCAAGCTATTTCTCAAAAAAAGAAAAGTTTCCAATGGACAAATAACTGGGAAATGCTAAATATAACATTTCAGTCTTGGAAATTCACAATGCACACTGGTATATTAAACATTTCAAAAAGTCTTGCAGTAAAGAAATCATGTTTACTTTGGCTGATTCAGGTTCCCCAAGCCTACCTGATAATATAACATTTTTTTTTCACCCAGTGGTTATTGCTGCACTAATAATTCATTCAGTATATTACATGCCAGCCACGGTGTCAAGCATTTTACATATATTAACTCATTAAATCATAACAACAATACTATGAGATTGGTATCCTTATTATTTCTATTTTACTCGCCCAAGATTGCTCAGTCACTAAGTGATAGCAGGATTCAAATCCTAGCACTCTGACGTGAGTCACATTCTGAATCAGCATTTTATATTGCTTCTTATGATATGCAATATGTGTATCAGTTACGTGTTAATCAGTTCTGGCATTGCTATTACATAAAGAAATACCCAAGGCTGGGTAGTTTATTAAGAAAGAGGTTTAATTGGCTAATGCTTCTACGGGCCGTACAAGAAGCATGATGCTGACATCTGCTTCTGGCGAGGGCTTCAAGGAGCTTGCAATCATGGCAGAAGGTGAAGGGGTGAACTGATTCATCACACAGCAAGAGCAGGACCGAGAGAGAGAGAGACAGAAGCCACACACTTTTAAACAACTAGATCTGATGTGGACTCAGTGTGAGAACTCACTCATCACCAAGGGGACGGTGCTAAGCAATTCATGAGGGACCCATCTGCATGTTCCAAACAATTCCTACTAAGCCCACCTCCGACACCGGGGGTTACATTTCAACATGAGATTTGGAGGACAAACATCCAAGACATATCAATTTGGGATGTTTTACCTCCAAATAACAGAAATCTCAGTCAAAATTGATTTAAAGAAAAGAGGGAGTTTGTCAGACATGGTGGCTCACGCCTGTAATCCCAGCACGTTGGGAAGCCAAAGTGGGCAGATCACTTGTGGTCAGGAATTTGAGACCAGCCTGGCCAACATAGCGAAACCCTGACTCTACTAAAAATACAAACATTGCGGTGGTGCACGCCTATAATCCCAGCTACTCAGGAGGTTGAGGCAGGAGAATCAGTCGCTTAAATCCAGGAGGCAGAGGTTGCAGTGAGCTGAGATCACAGTACTATACTGTAGCCTGGGCAACAGAGAGAGTGAGACTCCGTCTCAAAAAAGAAAAACAAAACAAAAAAAACCAAAGGACTAAGGGAGTTTATGGTCACACTTAACTAAAAAATAGTGTGAGTTTCAAGCACCAGGTGTGTATGCAGCTTCATTCTCTGAAATTCACTCATTCATCTCTGACGTCCTCCTTATGTCAGCTTCATCCCCAGGCAGCTCCCTTATATTATAGTAGTCTCTCCAGGTAGTACCTGCTTATCTCCAAACAGAAGAGAAAGCTTCCTTTCCTCCAAACATTGAATAAAATTGTTAGCCTCTTCTGATTAAGCCGTATGCCCACCTTGTATCATTCACTATGGCCATAGAAATGTGAAGTGCTGATTGTTTTCGGTTTGTTTACACCTCAACAAATTATGGTAGAGTGGATGGGCTTAGGTCAGTCAGGGCCCATTTGTGAAGCTGAGATTACAGCCAATTCCAGGCAAGCTGCATTACAGGGAAATTGGGTTTTTCCAGGAAAGAGAAATGGAGAAATGGAGTCCTGTAGATTTTGCTTTGAATAAAAGAATCCCCATTCAAGCCTAAGGTAAGTGTTCTGTGAAATATACTTTCAAAAATACCATTCCTATTTTTCTTTTTCTTATTCCTGCACCCTCTAGTGTCTTATAACAAAATGGAGAAAAGGGGGTTAGGGAAACTGAAGCCAATGGAGACAATACATCTAAGCCTTGACTTTTCCCTGACAATTTTACCTCTTGTTCCATCAATCCTGACGGTTCCTACAACAGAAATAGACTATAGAACTGTCTTGACAATTTTCAATTGGGAAATAGAAGTGGCTCTGCAATCTATTAATTATTTTAATAAAAAACACCTAACTTCTTCTCTGTATTTTAAACAACCCAAAGGATATGGAACCATAGAGTAGAAGTAAAATCACACTTCCCTTTGCTCACTCTTTCTATTCTCCTTCTCAGAGGTCATCAATTTGGTATATATATATTCCTAAACTCTCCAAATAGATACACACATAAAAATATATCTTTTGTAACATAAATGGGAACATGTTTTTTTTCACTTAGATATACATCTAAGTATATTCCCATCAGTACAAACAGATCTTCATTCTTTTTAACTGCTGCATAGAATATCACAGTATGCATGTACTGTCACTTAAGTTTTTCCAGTTGTGCCTTGGCAAACATGTAAGAATTTCTAATGCTTTTTACTATCTAAAAAAGAAAGGCTCAAATTCCTGCCCCATCCTTGTACTTGCTACTTTTAGCACATGTGAAAGTTTTTCTCTAAGACTACAACCCACCAGTGAAATTGCTTGGTTAAAGGAGTTTGAACACTTTAAATTTTGATAGAATTTACCAAATTGCCTTCCAAAAGACTGCTCCAATTTACACTCCCACCAACAGCGTCTAAGAGTACCTGTTTCTCCACTGGACATTAGCAATCTTTTCGCATTCAATTTCAAAGAGTAATCAACAGGACTCCAGTTAACTCTGTGATGAAAGTGGCTCCCTAACAGCTTTAAGAATGTATCATTAGACACAAAAGAAAACAATTATTTGGTGTGACCTCACTCTGTGATTGGTATTATAATAATAATAATAATAATAATAATAATAAAACCCTCTTGATTGAACAGCTACTTACCTTAGACTTTAAAGGCATTAACTACCTGCCTTACAGTGTTTTTAAGAGGTCAATAAAGGTTATTTATCCCCATTTTGCAGATGCAGATTTTAAAGCATAATAAAGTAAGTAAAAATTTCTACTAGGGTGTGTAGAAGAATGGAAAATAAGAATGCAGTTCTTTTGAGTTTCTACATCTTCATTTTCTGGTGATAAGGCAGCCTCTCAAATCCAAAAACAAAGCTCTGACATGCAACCTTTTATAGCCAGTGAAAATCCAGCTACTTGCCTTAGAAGCAAATTTCTTCCTTAACTCCCACTTAAAGCTGAATCACAACTAAGAAATACAACAGAGTGCAAAGCAAAGAAACTTCAGGTTCAGTTTTTAGACATGTGGTGGCCTTCGCTTCCTCTGGGAAAGGTTACTAGTGTCCTTTCATTGGCTGTCCCTGCTGATGTGGAGGGAAATGAACAGAAAATAAGGTGCAATCTGAAGAATTCAATATTAACTTCTCCTATGCTCCTAGATAGTCATGGAAAAATTCAAGGACTTATAAACTTAAAGTCCCCATAGAGTAGGTGACAGAAACACTGGCACCTTACTTGGGGCACTTTTGTCATCATCGCTTCGAGCTCAGCCCCAGATATATGTCCCAGAGGGAAGCCATGCGGGCTTTAATGCATATCTGGTTTCTTTGCAGAGAAGTCACAACTTACCCAACATACTTGTTCACAGAAAATCTAAATGAAATCTCAGATTGATGACAGCTGGCCCAGGGAAGGCAAGAACACCCCTTCACATGTGGGAGCAAGCTACTTGCACACCTTGAGATGAATACGTTTCTTCTAAGTATTTGGTTGTTTTATAGATTTCAATCTCAGGTCAACAGATTGTAATGGCATCAATACAAATATAAAGCAGTCACAAGGATTGTGACAAAGTGGATTTCTAGACCGGAAATGAATTTTTTCTTAAATTAAGAATGCTTAGCTAGTGTAAGAGTAAATGTCAATATTCTTCTGCAAAGAGTTTTCTTTTCTCTATTTCTGGCTTCAGTACCTTGACTTGGAGGCACAATCCTGTGCTACATCTACCCAGGCTCCATCAACATCCAGTATTCCCTGTCTAAAGCTTTGACACATTTGTCACAACAGCTAAGGTTGAGGAAAGGAGTTGAAACGATTTCACAAGGCTTGTTATGACTCACATGGCCCCTCTGTAGTCCTCTTAACTTCCTTTGTTCCCATCCTTCCAATAAAACATGAGCACCAGCCGTTTCCCCTTGCACAGTGTGAGGCAGAAAGGCTGAAGCCTTTGAGCTGCTGTTCCAGTCTACAGATCATTAGAGCAGATGATACTGTTCAGTACATCAAACCCTTCATGCCAACTTCTAAATGAGGGAGAAAACTGAAGTGATGACAATGATCTATCAGTACCCCTTTTAATAAAGATACTTTTCGTTAATAAAAATGCTCCTTTTAATAAAATTTAAAGAAAATCTTAAGGCCTTAGGACCATGTGGAGAGGGGGTTGGGAGTATAGGTAAGAAGAGAGAGGAGAGTGACTGGAAAAAAATGAAGTGGAGAAGGAATAAAGAAAATAAAGGATACATATTTGGTGTCCTGGGTGTATTATCCTGCTGCTCAATCTCCCACTAAGATCTGTAGCTCTGTGGTTCTTTAGAAGACATCAGATAACTCCAACTGTTTTCTAAAGTTTAAATATCACAGATTGATAGGCCCTGAGTTAGGATGGAGACATCTGTGGTTGAATGTGTCTCTGGGAGACAAGGATAATGACAACTTGTATTTTCAGAGGGTCTTTCTCTCAAAGCAGAAGGCATTTCATACATTTGATCTAATTATACTTCCACAACAATGATGGCATCTGGGAAGAAAGTAGGAGTTGGGACAGTGAGTGTTATGGAGGTAAGGATGTAAATACCATTATCATTATTTCTTGCCTAATGAAAATAAAACATGGAGTGTTTCTAAAAGTGCCCTAAGACACAGTTTTTAAGCTCCTTAGCTGCTCTAATTTTTTATTCAAATAAAAACTGATGCTAAACACTAACATAAAAAACAGAAACAAACCCATCTCTGAAAAAAATAAAATCAATGCTGAACTGCCTTTGATGAAACTGCCTTAGGGTCCTACCTGTCTACTCTTTTTCTCTACTTTTCTCTATCCTTTAAAACTAATAGAAATAAGTATTAGAGAGAAATAATTACTTTCCCAGATGAGGCAATAAAGAAACTACCAATGTAGAATATGAATCAATCTCCCAAATTCTATTCCAGTCAAGCGATATAACCACCCAAGAATGATAAAGAACTAGCACCTGTTGTTACAAGCGAGGGATACAAAGTTTATCTTCACAAACCATCATCACGTACAACCTAGGTATCTTTTTAACACATTTTCCTGTGGAAATAAAATTTATTGAGAAGGATTTTAATAACTGCATGGTAGCATTACATTTGCCAACCACAGAATTATGACTGCTTACCGCAGGCATTCTGAGAACACAGACTGAACTTATTGACATGACTTTTTATTACTGTCTTATAATATAATTGTTACAAATTCTATGAAGGCCAAGTTTTACCAAAGTTTCTGGAAACATCATTTTTGGACTTTCAAATTTGACAAAGGAAAGCCCCACCCTACGTCTATCCTTCTCAGGATGCTAATGCAGTATTGCTAGTAGTAGCAAGTACATGCGTTCATTGAAGGAGATATGAACTAAAAATATGACCCTATGGATCTGTTATGACTAAGAAGGAATGTCTTTCTGTGGCAGCTAAGTGAAGTGACAGTCTGGAGCAGATTCCAAGCAACCCACATCCTCTCTTAGTGCCAGAGGAAGGTTTGCGGCCTAGGATGAAAGTGATATGATAAAAGTGTGTGAAATTCTATCGGAAAACAACTCAAGTGTCCTCATTTATTTTTTCCAACCTGTGTAATGGAATTTTTAACTGTATTTTGCAGGTCCTCTCTACCCAGTGTGACCTCCAAATATGCACTATAGGGAAAATACAACAAAAAATCAAAGGCAAAGCTGGCTTAAGTTCTTGTCTTTTGCTGTTTCTATCAATGCAAATTAAATTTTTAAAATTCTTTTTCTATGATAATCACTTTTACTGTGATTTTTGGTAAGAAACTCAAAATGCCTTGTAGTCCATGAGTCATGGTCTATCTTAGACTGGAGTGTCACCACATGTCTTAGTGTGTTACTAGTAGACCAAAAGCAAAGGCAAAAGGAGAAATTCTAAAGAAAGAGAAAAGTGAGAAGTTGGAAAATACAATAAAAAGAAGTGATTGAGAATATAATGAAAGAAAGTGATTGGGAAGAAAAGGATAAGAAGAATGAGAAAGAGATGAGTTTGAAAGGATTAAGTACCCAGGAATGTCACCTGTGATTATGGACCATCAATCAAATGTTAGAAAAGCCAAACAATATTGTCTATCTACCTGTACATATGAAGAGAATCAGGGAAGTTACGTTATTTTCACACATCATAATCATTATAACACAACAATCTTTTACAAATTGAAAAATAGACTTCAGCAGCTTTATAAGGTATAGCTACTATTGATTATAGACACATAATTATTGAACAATGAATTTTTTATTCATGCTATTTCTGCTCCTCAAACCCACAACAAGTAATTAACAGAATTGGCATTAGAATCTACTCGTTTGTCATTTTTTCTCTAAATCTCGAGGTCCTTGCACTCTCCTAACATTTAATTGAAGGTCTGTACCTAGAGTAGGCAACTTTGGGGCAGTGGAGACACTGCTTGACAATGATCAACAATATTTACACACATGTTCTTATACATCTGTGGCTCCCAAACTTCCTAAGACAGAAGATTTGATTAGGTCAGTCTTTCAGCACCCACAGTGGTGGGCAGGCTTGCTCGTTTCCAGTCCATAAATCTTTGCACCTGGCACTAATCTATGGTAAAATAGTCGTGACAAGCCTTCCTGGGTTCATCTGACTAAATGCATGTGAAATAAGCCATAGCAGGGATAAGAACAAAGAAAGACTGGCAGTGGATCATGCCTGTAATCCCAGCACTTTGGGAGGCCAAGGTGGGCAGATCACGAGGTCAGGACATCGAGACCATCCTGGCTAACATGGTGAAACCCCGTCTCTACTAAAAATACAAAAACTTAGCCAGGCATGGTGGCAGGTGCCTGAAGTCCCAACTACTCAGAAGGCTGAGGCAGGAGAATGGGGTGAACCCGGGAGGTGGAGCTTGCAGTGAGCCGAGATCACGCCACTGCACTCCAGCCTGGGTGACAGAGCAAGACTCCTTCTCGAAAAAAAAAAAAAAAAAGAAAAAGAAAAAAAGAGAACAAAGAAAGATTGGAGGCCACTTCCCTCAAAATCTTGGCAGTTATTTTAAATTTCAAGGGTTCTTCTCTAGAATAAGACCATAAACTTAATCAAAGAATTGGCAAAACATCTGCTCCATAGGTCTTATGTAGCTTGAATGATAGTGGATTTGAAATAGAATTATGAAACTCCATATGTCTGTGGCCGTGGAAGTTATTTAATACTGTTAAACAGGAAGTAGCAGAAAATCTTTAGTTTGGGAAATTACTTTTCAGCACAGATTTATTCAGTATGTTGGCCTTCCAATCAAAAGCTAGAACAAGGCACTGCAGGTCAACAGAAAAAGACAACAGACATAGAGCGCTGGATATCAGATCACAGACAGAGGACAGAGTTCAAGAAACTCACAAATATAGATCAAAGTAATCTTCAGGGCAATAATAAATTGATGGGTGGAATTTTGAGGAATGTATTATAAGGAAGCAAAACTTTGGAAATGCAGTTAGTTTAGACTTTATAGCTAATAAAGTCTGAACTTTGATAATTTTTTCAACTAAAATATTGAGAAATATCTTAATTAGTATTAAAATCCATGATTCAAGGCAATAACCATTTTTGCAAAACAATGTAGAAAAAAATAAAGTTATATACAGAGAACAAATTCAGGACAATAAAAACAGAAATAAATAGCAGAATGGAGACATTTTATTTATGCCTAGTTGGTTAAGCATTTTACTGATTCTTAAAGAAGCAGAATTAGTGGTTGATAGAGAACTATTATGTAGAGCATTTATGATTTATATATCTGCATTCATGATTAAGTTAACATTATGCTGAATGTAATGCAGTTTCCATTTTATAATGTAGGTTTTGTCATTTTCGAACATTTATTTTTATTATAAAACCTCAAGAAAAGGACCTTCTTTCTTCTGGCCTTTCCTTCTCAAATATCGTATTATTTTTCATGAGTTACCCCGCAAATGCCAGGGGTCTGATCTTTAATCCTCTTCTCTTTTAACATATACAAACTTCCTATGGGTTATCTCAAAACTCCCACATTTGTTTCACAATGTAGTAGACACAGAAATACACTCCCCAGATCCCCCTTGAAGGTAGGATGTGCTATCAAACTACAGAAAGTGTAGCCAGTCAACGGCCTTCAGAATGCACCTCAATTACAGAGAGCCACCTCACCCAAGGTCATGCCCTTCCCAGAAGAACCCATCTCTGGTGACTGAGTGAGGTAAAAGTATAAAGACCTAGCTTATATTTTTAAAAAATGAGAAAATAACTCAGTCCAAAATCATATAGCAAAGAAAATCATAGAAATAAGATGGTAAAAATTAATCCATATCAATAATCACAATAAATATATGTAAACTATGTTATTTAGTTAAAAGAATAAGATATTCAAATTATGGTTTAAAAACTTATAAAAGAGATGATTGAAACATGAAGACATAGAAATATTGAAAGGTAAACAATAGAAAAGTAGTAATTGTGCAGCTCTATTATAATATAAAATGAAATAAATTTAAAGGTAATAGCTTTGCTAGTAATGAAGAGAATCATTATATAATAATATAATAGTCCCTTTGCCAAGAAGTTACTAAAGTTTTAAACATTTATGCATCTAATAACTTGACTTTGAAATAATTTTAAATAAGGGCAGAAATTCATGAAAGAAAAAATAAAGATACAGTAGAGAAGATCAAAGAATCCAAACACCGGCTTTTTGAAAAACAAATAAGATTAATGAACCATTAGCAAGAGAGATTATAAAAAAAGGAGCAGAGGTAATCAATAAGAATGCATAATTAGAGTCAATAGACATAAAATAAATAATAGAAAACTATAAACTAGTATATATCATTAAATTTGAAAAATTAAACATGAACATATGCCTACAAAAAATATACTTCAAAAAACTGACTCTAGAAGAAATAGAAACTGTCAATGACATAAGCGACTAAAGAAATTGAAACATTTTCTCAAAAGAAAACACTAGGCTTAGATTATTTTATATAAATTCTCTGCAAAATATTCAGTAAATAAACAATTTTAATCTTAGACTAACTCTTCCATAAAAGAGAAAAAGAGGGTACATTTTCTAAATTATTTTATTTGCTCAGTATATCTTTGATATCAAATCAGATAAAGGTAATATAAAAAGTGTAAAAAGAAAATTATAGGCCAATTCACTTATGAAATGAATGCAAAAGTAACTAAACAAATGCCAGGTATGAAATACATAATAAATATATAAAGAGATTTTTCATAGGTAATTGGGAGTATGGAGGTGGAAAAGTCCCAAAATCTATAATCAAGAAGCTAGAGACCCAGGCGAGTCAACAAAGTAGGTATAGTCCAACTCCAAAGGTCAGAGAATCAGGAGAGCTGATGGTGTAAGCCCAAAAGCTGGCAGGCTTGAGACTCAAAAAGACATAACTTTTTAGTTTGAGCCTAAAGGCAAAGATCAACTCCAGCAGTCAGGCAGACTGAGTTCACTCTTATTCAGCCTTCGTGATCTATTCAGGTTTTCACTTGGTTAGATGAGGCCCACCTACGTTAGTGAGGGCACTCTTATTCACTCAGCCCACCTTTAAAATGTCAATATCATCTACAAACACCCTCACAGACACACCAAGAATAATATTTGACCAAAGATCTGTGCACCCTTTGGCCCAATCAAGTTTGACACATAAAATCAGCTATCACAGGCCAGGCACAGTGGCTCACACCTGTAAGCCCAGCACTTTGGGAGGCCGAGGCAGGCCGATCACTGGAGGTCAGAAATTTGAGAGCAGCCTGGCCAACATGGTGAAAGCCCAACTCTACTACAAATACAAAAAAAAAAAAAAAATTAGTGGGGCATGGTGGTGCATGCCTATAATCAATCTCAGCTACTCAGGAGGCTGAGGCAGGAGAATCACTTGAACCTGGGAGGCCGAGGCTGCAGTGAGCCAAGATTTCACCACTGCATTCCAGCCTGGGCAACAGAAGGAGGCTCTGTCTCAAAAAACAAACAAAAAAAATAGCTATCACAATAAGAAAATGTATAAATGTTGTATATTTATACAATGGAATTCCTTATAGCAGTGAAAATTAGTGAACCCTTTTGCTGTTCTGCAGCCTCCGCTGGTGATACCTAGGTAAACAGGGTCTGGAGGGGACCTCCAGCAAACTCCAGAAGACCTGCAATGAGGGGCCTGATTGTTAGAAGGAAAACTAACAAACAGAAAGGAATAGCACGTCCACTCAGAGACCCCCATCTGAAGGTCACCAACATCAAAGACCAAAGGTAGATAAATCCACAAAGATGGGGAGAAACTTGCGCAAAAAGGCTGAAAATTCCAAAAACTACAATGCCTCTTCTCCTTGAAAAGTTCACAACTCCTTGCCAGCAAGGGAACAAAACTGGATGGAGAATGAGTTTAATGAATTGACAGAAGTAGGCTTCAGAAGGTGGGTAATGACAAATTCCTCCGAGCTAAAGGAACATGTTCAATCCCAATGCAAGGAAGCTAAGAACCTGAAAAAAGGTTAGGTAAATTGTTAACTAGAATAAACAGTTTAGAGAAAAACATAAATGACCTGATGGAGCTGAAAAACACACCATGAGAACTTCATGAAGCATACACAAGTATCAATAGCCAAATCGATCAAGTGGCAGGATATCAGAGATTGAAGATCAACTTGATGAAATAAAGCAAGAAGACAAGATTAGAGAAAAAAGAATAAAAAGGAACGAACAAACCCTGTAAGAAATATGGGACTATGTGAAAAGACCAAATCTACGTTTGATTGGTGTACCTGAAAGTGACTGGGAGAATGGAAATAAGTTGGAAAACACTCTTCAGGATATTATCCAGGAGAACTTCCCCAACCTAGCAAGGCAGGCCAACATTCAAATTCAGGAAATATAGAAACAGAAACACTACAAAGTTACTCCTTGAGATGAGCAACCCCAAGACACATAATCGTCAGATTCACCAAGGATGAAATGATGGAAAAAATGTCAAGGGCAGCCAGAGAGAAAGGTCAGTTTACCCACAAAGGGAAGCCCATCAGGCTAACAGCGGATCTCTCTGCAGAAACCCTACAAGCCAGAAGACAGTGGGGGCCAATATTCAACATTCTTAAAGAAAAGAATTTTCAATCCAGAATTTCATATCCAGCCAAACTAAGCTTTATAAGCAAAGGAGAAATAAAATCCTTCACAGACAAGCAAATGCTAAGAGATTTTGTCACCATCAAGCCTGCCTTACAAGAGCTCCTGAAGGAAGCACTAAACATGGAAAGGAACAACCAGTACCAGCCACTGCAAAAACATGCCAAATGGTAAAGAACATCAACACTATGAAGAAACAGCATCAACCAATGGGCAAATTAACCAGCTAGCATCATAATGACAGAATCAAATTCACACATAACAATATTAACCTTAAATGTAAATGGGCTAAATGCCCCAATTAAAAGACACAGACTGGGAAAATAGATAAAGAGTGAAGACCCATCGGTGTGCTGTATTCAGGAGACCCATCTCATGTGCAAAGACACACATAGGCTCAAAATAAAGGGATGGAGGAATATTTACCAAGCAAATGGAAAGCAAAAAAAAAAAAAAAAAAGCAGGCTTTGCAATCCTAATCTCTGATAAAACAGACTTTAAACCAACAAAGATCAAAAGAGACAAAGAAGGGCATTACATAATGGTAAAGGGATCAACACATCTAGAAGAGCTAACTATCCTAAATATATATGCACCCAATACAGGAGCACCCAGATTCATAAAGTAGTTGTGTTCTATAAAGCCACAGCTAACACTGAATTAGCAAATACTGAACCATTGCTCCTAAGGGATAGTTAAGTTCCTGCAAGCTTCTAGTCACATTTTTATCAACAAATCAATACATAGCCTTATTTTATGTTTGTTTATGTGTAAAGACACCATTTTATTTTATTTTAACTTTTTTTTTTGAGACGTAATCTCACTCTGTCCCCCAGGCTGGGGTGCAGTGGCACGATCTTGGCTTATTGCAACCTCCTCCTCCCTGACACACTGTTAATTCATTAGCACTGAACTCACAGCTGATAGCACTATAATTCATGCCTGCACAGACCTTACCCAAAATGCGTATTTTCTCTGTAAGGCATATAACAGCCTTCTTGTGCTTAGGAATACTAGACAGCACTTCAGCACTATGCTTAGGGACAATTTTAAACAGGGAAATCACCAACAAAAAGCACAAAAATTCAAAAAAGATGGCACTAAATAGACCTCAGAAAGGACACTTACATTACGAATGCTGAGGCAAGAAAGCAGAGTATCACCTTGTTCAATCTCAGCTAGTAACGTACATGTCAGGTGACTCAAATTTTTTTACCACTGTTTATATGCCTACAAATGCCAAGAAAGCACCACAAACATTGATTTTGAGGTTTCAGTAACTTTTAGTGATTAGGCAAATTTGCAAATATGGAATCTGTGATAATAAAAAATGACTGTGTACACACACTCACTTTTGCATGTAGCAAACATTAAATCATTTTTAAATGGGAAGAAAAAACATTCCTTATGCCTTTGTAGCTCAAAGGTGTGACTGAGTTACATGCATCTGCTCATATCATAAAAAGGCTTGAATCCTTCTCCACTATACCTCCTCCACAATGATCTCACACAGTGATTCTAGAAGTAACCAGGGTACTGCCTCCCAAGGTTCTTTGTGCACCCTAGTCATCCTGCTGTACTAGTCCCATCTCTCAGAGGTTGCTTTACTCTCACTGGTCAACATGTGCTGCCAAGACTTCCAGAGAAGCTTCACTACCCAATGCTCACTGGCATAAGAAAGCCATGACCATGGCTTATGTGCAATTTCTGTGTTCACCCAAAAGGATGTCATTTTCCAGGAGCCGATGGGCACCATGCATACAAAAAGGTAAGGGTGTTTTCTACAATGCCACTTCAAAGTTGGTTGCCTGGGTTCCTAAAGTTGCCCTGAGGCCAATCTTATAAAATCTCTACTAAATGGGAATTTCAGCTACGACCTTTAACACTTTTCACTTGGCTCGAAATCAATCCAAAGAAATCAGTGGAAATTTAGCTTCTTCTCATCTCTAGGCCACTGTCTCCACCAAATTCATCTCTCCTCATCTCTAATATGTATAAAGAAAGATGACAAATATTAGGAGAAAAGACATGGGCTATTATCTACACCTGGCAACAGACAGTCTTGTTAGAGTTTATTGTAGGAAATCTCAGCTCCATAGCCTACTGAAGAATTTTGTGGGTGGAGTTTCCTTTAAACTCTGAATTAAAAACCTCTTTTACTCACAATGTTCAAATAAATTGGAAATAAATTGGTCATATGTTTCCCATTTTCCTTTCCCACAGCTGAGTCAATATAAAAGTTCTATTAGCTTGAAATGGAGAAAACACATTTTCTTGAAAGATGGAAATTCCAATGATTGCCCGATGAACAAATACCATCAAGGATCTCCATTTATTTTAGCTGAAATTTAGAATATGTATTCGAAGATCAGCCTTAACTCCCAACAACAAAAAAACGGTCTAGTAATATATGCAAGGTAACGTGGGTTCTTAAGCTACTATTTGCCTTAAATATAATTAGAGCTTTTCATGAGTGTCACTTAATTTTGTGCCTCCTTTCAAAACTTTAAGAAATAAATAACTGTAATTGATTATCACCTCTGAAAGCAGCTATCATATCCCATGATATATGTATCTTTCTTTTACCTGGGAGTCATTCACATTAACAGTATTTTTTTTTTTTTTTTTTTTTTTTTGAGACAGAGTCTCGCTCTGTCACCCAGGCTGGAGTGCAGTGGCGCAATCTCGGCTCACTGCAAGCTCCGTCTCACAGGTCCACGCCATTCTCCTGCCTCAGCCTCCCAAGTAGCTGGGACTATAGGCGCCTGCCACCACGCCCGGCTAATTTTTTGTATTTTTAGTAGAGATGGGGTTTCACCATGTTAGCCAGGATGGTCTCGATCTCCTGACCTCGTGATCCACCCACCTCGGCCTCCCAAAGTGCTGAGATTACAGCACATTAACAGTATTTTAGTAAGAGCTTATGCAAATCAGATAATCTCCGATCATGATAAATTTTAACTACTCTTGTTCTTGTACTTACTGTAACTTAATTGTTTAGAAAGTGTTTAAGGTTACACCCAGAATTTAAATTTCAAGTTTTCTTCTAAGCTTTTTCTACATTAAATCCAGATACTCAATCTTCTCCCAGTGATTGAAGGATAATTATTTAAATTTGATAGCAGGAAAAACTCTATCATTTAGAGTTCTCATTACCAATGATTTTTTTAATGTAAAATACAATAATTTCTGTGATTTAAAATAATATCTTGGCTTTCATTCTTTCATGTCCATTAAAATTCCACAGTTCCTTTATCTCTCAGTCCCTCTGACATTTCCAAACTGTGAGGTCCTAATTGTCTTACAAATACAACATTTAAACAGCATGGATAATTAGGTAAAATTGTGTTCCAAAGAAAAGCAAATCAAACACCTATTGTTTTTCCCTTATTGACAGAAAATAACTTATTTCCTTGAATGAATACATATCTTATTTGTCTTTCACACTATACTTGATGGCAGGCCTCCAAAAAAGAGGTTTCAAAATGTTAAGCCAAAGATCTCTGGAAACCTCTGTAAAGTAAGAATTTTAATTTAATATCCAATGGTAATACATGTGTATTCTCAGACCTTTGGCAATAACAGTGAGATGTTATTATTCTAAGCTGTATGGACTATGAAACTTAGATAAATTTAACCTTATGAATGTAATTTCATGCTCTTAATGTACTTTATTTCACTGATGGACATTTCCCTTCAAAATATTTTCCCTAATTTCTATGCCTATCTTCTTTATAATGCCATGACTCCTTTAGTAGGTGCCAGATTGCTCTTTAGAGTCTCTAGTCTAGTCTACTTCTGGCTCTTCCTAACACTATAATTTAAGCCTGCATTTGCTTATGGCTAAAGCCAAAGTGTACTCAGAGTTTTAATCATGGCTCTGTAATTACTCTTAATTTAATCTTAATGTCCACTGGTATTTATTTATCATCCTGGTTAATGTGCAGAATTTTAAAGAATTCCTTAAATCTGTTTTGGAATACAAACCAGCACATATATACAGCATCCTATTTATGACTCTGATAAACTAGGCATGACTTTCCTTTGGTTACAATGGAGGTATTAAAATTTATTCATGAGCTATTAAGCCTACAAGTCATTGCCTATTCTACACTAGACATGGTGATATAAAAATGAAGACCCTTAGTTCTGTCAATGAAGCACTTACAGCACAGAAACGTAAGACAGATCTCTAAGCAAATATACCTAACAAGAAATTACAGTTGTGATAATTAAAATACTCACAGACATAGATGGACACAAAAAAACTGAGTGGCCAGTTCCCCAGGGGAGTGTCAGGGTGAAGAAAGGCAATTCAGATTAAAAGTATTTTGGAAAAGCTGTGTGGAAGAGGTTGTGACCCTGGAGGGTTCTGGGAACTCCAGTCTGCATGACTGGAACTTACAGGGCAAAGGGTTTTTTTGGAAAGAAAAGGCTTGGAGAGAGTTGAGATCATGGCAGGCCTTGTCTGGTATAACGATAGTTTGAACTTTATCCTACAGTTAAAAGGGAGCCAATAAGCACTGGAGTAACATGACCAACTAGTTTGGTATAAAGAGGATTCAGTAACCATGGAAACTAGACAAAAGCAAAAAGAGCAGCTTGAAACTACCCCAAGAGTTCAGACAAGGGACTTCGCTCCTTCAGCTTGGGGCTGTGGTCAGAATAAAGTGATTACTAGTAACAAAGTGCTCCAATTCCCTCTGAAAGTAGAATGCAGAGCCAGATTAAAAAAATAATAATTTTGTCATATAAACAAAGAACCACTCTAGATCACTTGATGCATTTTCTAAGTTTGAACACAGCAGTGAAATTTGGGGCCTTGATTGCACAGCCTAGGGCCAAACCAGTGCTTAATTTGAGGTCATCATATGACATGATAAGACAGTGCTAGAAAACAATTTGTTCATTACTTTCCCCTACAAAAACTCAAAGCATTAATTTTGCATGTGATAAAAATGAGCTCTTTGAAAAGGTATAAAAATTAACTACTAAGTGACATGGACAACAGGTGTTCATCCAAGCATTTCCCTTTGTGTGCCTAGGCCATAAGAGTGTCTGTTGCTTGCATCCTTGGGAGTCTGGAAGGATAAAATCATCAGTGCGATGAAACAATTTCCCTGAAGAAGGGCATGAAAGGTCACCAGCACTTGGTTCTATCCGAGAGCCCTGATCCATTGGCCTATGGAACTTGCTAATTCTCAGAACCACAATGACAAAAATCATAGTTGTTACTGGTATTCTCTTGTCCCTTTGAGTCCTCAATCTCAATATATTAAACCACCAGATGAAGTAGTCGGGTAAGTAATCCTTTTGGCCTAAAACATAGGAAGGAAAAGCCAAAAACTATTTTTGTGTTCCTGAATTGATCTGGGACAACAGAATCAGCTCAGAAAACAGCGAGAATTAGCAGAGAATAGATTTGTTCTCAGTGATATTGATTCATCGCAAACTTTACACTAATTTCCACGTGGTTTCTTTTGGCCCAGTTGCCCTGGGGCTTTGTCTCCATTACTTGTGATAAACCCATAATGTGCCAATGCAAATTTATTAACTCACAAAGTATTCTACAGAGTATAAAAATGCAAAACAGCACTGATATAAATCAGGAATAGCAGCAGGCAATAACATACCCAATCTGTGAGGTGTGTATTATTTTCCTTAAGAGAAAGATTATACTCAAGGAAGATTATTTATAGTTTCCTTTTGAATGATGTTAAAAAATATTCAGAAAGCCAAATTAAACTTGCATAAGTGATTCAGTGATTTTCATTTCAACAGATACGTATTGCCTTCGTTCACAAAGTTGGCTCTTGATTGTCAGGCAGTTAAACCCAATGAGCAAAAACATGAACATCCTTTGTTTTGAAGACCAAGCCTAGTTTAGCTCCATTTGGTGTCCAATCCAGGTTTTTTAGATATGTGTAGAAGTGCAAGATTTTCGAATCAGAAGGTTATGTAAAGTCCTTCTATGAGAGCACCAATACAAATGTTAAATACACTCAACAACCATATTTTTATACCCAAGCCTTCAGAAATACCAGCATAAAAGAATTAAGATATAAGAATGAGAATATTTATTACAGTTGGTAATGGTTTCAAATTAGAAATAATCTAAACGTCCTACTATACAGAAATGGATAAACATATATTTGGTATGAGTTAGATGTACAGATCTGGAAAGAGGCCAATTCTTAAGTAAATAAAAGAAAGTCATACAACAATAACTATAGATTAATTTTTGTTTAAAAAGGGAAAAGTGTTAGTACTGGTTAACTCTAGTGGTGGATGTGTGAAACTTTGGGCTCTTACTTAATATAATTCTATGTAGTTTGATTTTTTTTAGAAAAAATAAAGTACTATTCTTGTAATTTTAAAACAAACAAACAAAAGACAGTTATCAAATTCATTTTCCTGCCTTTAATACATATATCACCTAAACACATAATCTTCCTGGTACCTTTCAGACATTTTTAAATTTAGCTCTGGGAATTTCAGCTGATACAAATAAAAATTTCTGATAACATCTAAGAGATATGACATCACATGACTAGGACTTTAAAATGATTTGCATAAATCTCTGTGGATTAAAAATACTTTCACACAGCTCTAGTGCCAAACAAGTCAATGGAATTTTAAGATCTTCCTTAGGTGTGGTTTAATTTCCCTTCATAACTCTTCTTCCCAGCTCCCACCATCCCTCTTTTATAAATAGATAAACTATGAATGTGGAACAAGTAGGAATTTCTGTAGGAGGTGGACAGTAAGTGTTGGTAATTGCAAACATACATTCAGAAATGGCTCAGTATATTTAGGCATCTTATCATGAGTATATCATTTTTTAGAGCAAACATTTTCTCCACCTTCTGTGCATATCAGTACACACACCAAAATCTAAAAGGAGTCTTTCAATTTCACAGCCAACTGAATTTGCTTAAACTGTTGACTAAAAAAAATGCTGGAAAAATAATAGGCTTCATCTGTAGGTAATGAGAGATTAATTTATACAGCTGCCTCGTAAAGTTCAGATACATCAATGAAAAAAATCCAATTCGCTAAGTGAATAACTTAAAACTTTGCAAGTTTTAAGCATTATCTAGATGCAAAGTCTCTACTTTTACCATTTTGTATATTGCCAAATTAATAAAAAATTATAAAACTTATTTTTTCAACATCTTGTAAGTCTGTACACGTGAAAAAATAAAATCTTTACCTTTCGCTCTGTTTATCTTTTCTAGAGTCATAAATATTCTTGCTCTAAGAATCCTCAATTTTTTTTGAAAGTAGGAATATTGAACATATAAAAGAAGAAAAAGAGCCTATCACAAGGAAAACTGTAGTACATTAAAACTAGTTGGAACTTTGAAAACAGATTGTGAAATAAATCTTCAATATTATGTTCTTCTTACCCCTTTACATTTTGATTTTTTTTTGTCTTTTTGAGACAATAATACATCCAAGTTTCCAGGTAAGTGTCAAAAGCTTAGCAATCACCAAATGTTTTACAGACCCAGATATCCCTCATGCCTATAGTAAGTGCAAAGGGCATATTGCATTTTTTCCTAAATAGCTTACCATAAATTGTCTCAGAGATTGTCAATCTGGATATTGCTAAGATATTTAAAGAATCTTTCATCTGAGACCTATTATGTTGAAATTAAGAGTCATTTCCAAGTCAGAAGTCAGAGGTCATCTCTAAAACAGTCACATATATCTGTTTTTAAAGAAGTTAATTTAAGGTTAAGAAAAATTAGAATTCCATTTATTAAGCACAGGAGTCCACAAACCAGTGAATTGCCATTGATTGGCAATTTAACTGGAAAGCATCATTTTACACTAAAATCACCAATAGAGTGTGGTATTACCAGGAATCAAAGACAAAAAGAGTTTCAAGGAACCCACCATTAAATCCAACTATTTTGCTTTACAGATGAGGAAACTGAAATCCAGAATGTATTTGATTTAACTTCTTAGAGCCCTGCAAAACAGTTTTTCATAAATATGTATTACAACAAGTGATATCTTTTAATGTTATGTTTTTACATTTTTTCTGAAAATTTAACTTTCTTTATAATTAGAATCAATTATACTAGCAAAAATTCAATACGTGAGCCTCAAAGTCTTCTCATTATGTCTTCCACATATTAAAGTGGAAGTAACCAGAAGGCTTTGGAAATTCAGGTCTGAAGCTCTCCAGGGCTGGAGGTGGAAAAAAAGGAATCAAATGCTTATGAATGGTTGTTAAAACCATAGTACATTTAAGATAATCTGGTAGGAGTAAATAGAGTGAGAAGCAAGCCAAGCTGCAGATCACAACCTCCAAAATATTTTGATCACTTAACTCCTCAGTTTAAAAAAAATTTGAGGATGCACCATCAGTATACTGTATTTATGTACTTTTATATTACACTTGATCTTCAGCAGGCTACATAACTTCTCTGGACTTCAGTACTTATCTTACAGGATATAGTAAGGATTAAATAACCTAACATAAGCCTAGTATCTAGTAAAACTCCAATTAATGTAAGTTGTTTATACATACACACATCATAAGCATATAACATACATAGGCTGTACTAATATACTCATAATAAGCCCATAAAACTAAACGTTTGATAAAGATCAGCTAGAAATTAAATGTAAACATAATTTCTAATATGTTGTAATACATATGTTCTAATATACTTCTTCTCATGTTTCAATAGATTATCTTGTAGAACTCCATGGGACACATCCACTCCAATTTGCAAACCCCTTTTTCAGAGAACTTCTCTTTCAAGGGTAAGCTATCAAGAAATCCAAGGCTCAGTGATGTGCTGGAGTCAACTGGCACCAGATAAAGACAACTGTTCATTCAGTGATGTCACACTGAATGGACCACGAAATGGACCATGGTGAGAGTATTTACACCAAAGAAGTCAGAAAACATTCTATGTCAGAGGTTTCTTTTTCCTCTCCAGAAAAATGGTTATTAGATATTCACCAGCACATCACTGTCAGCAGTTCAGAAGTAGGAAAAGAATGAAGAAAAAGTATTATGAAGTCAAAAGGCCAAAAATAAAACAGAATGAGAAGGCTAGGTAGTCAGACATGTCCATTGGGAGGCCAAGGCAGGAGGATCACTTGAACCCAGGAGTTCGAGACCATCCTGGGCAATATAGTGAAACCCCATCACTACCAAAACAATTGTCAAAAACTGTGTATGTGTGTCTGGATTGAACAATTAGGCCAAAGTGGCTGGGTAGAAGCAGATAACTGTGGGTGGGACAGTGAGAAGCTAGGAAGAAAAACAGTCAGTGAGGGAAGGAAGTGCAGTGCAGCCACAGGCCTGGGGAGAGAGCTGAATCATGGAAGTGGTGGGGATAGAAGTGGATAAAGAAGCCACAGCTTATGGAGAAAGTGGGACACAGGTTGAGAGAAGCCTGGATAAATCCTAGAGCCCTACAAAACAGTAGGCCAAAGAAGACACACAGCACCTGTTGGGGGGAGGCACTGTTACAGTGGTGTGCAGAGAGGGTGAGCAAGTTTCTGTGACAGGTGAGTACAGGAAGGCAGGAGGGCCACTTAGAGGGTGCAGGCTGAACTGAGCAGGCAGAAGTTAGAAAACATTGTAAGGGGGAACTAAAGTGACCCAGAGAATGGGAAATAGGAAAGCAGGAAGAGAAAGCACTCAAATTTGACACTTCTCACTGGATATGAATCGGTTAAAAGGAATTTATTATACGATATTCTAAGACATCTATTTCTATCTACCTTTTTTAAAAAACTAGAATTTCATTAAAAGCAATGATGCTTAATCCTCTGAACACGGTAACCCAACCAGTATTTCCATGTGGTTAAATTCTTCTATTATGTTTTATTGAAGAGAAAAAATTTACTCTGATCGGGTTATTTTTACACACAAAGTTTAAATATTTGATTAGAAACTACACTGAAAACTGAACATCTCACTGTGTGTTTAATACTCACAAATTCACTCGACCTGAGAGATGGCTGAAAGCCCGGGCGTAATATTGGGCTGATACCTTTGTAACTGGGACAAAATCACCCCGGATAAATACATCTGCCACTTACAGTTGAAGACAAGTCTTCATTTAATTGAGTTTACAGTTTTGTTTTCTCTTTTTATTACTTCTCTTAACCTAATGCTCACTTTCTATGCCCCTAGAAGAGGGACAGGGAAAGGCCAGGTGAAAAATAAACTTCCACCAGCAATATTTGCAGAGCTGTTTCTGGTAAACAGTCAAACTCACCAGGCTCTTATATCATCATTTATTTGCACTTGTCTTTTAACATGGCTTTTTGCGCTGTCATGGGCAGTTCTTAATTTCCATCAATAACCTTTCATTTCAAGCATGGCTAGTTTGCATTATGAATGTGAGAAGTGAGAACCATCCTTTAGGAAGCTGGAAATTGAGGACTATACCATAGGAGGATACTTTAGAGTTTGGGCTAAACTCAACTATCATAGGCCAGGTAGGGCCCAATCTGTAAATTGGGTTGGTTTGGGTCACCTCACTGGCATAAGAGCCCTGAAGTTTAATGGAACCGTCACTAGGAAAAGTTACAATGATGGTACCTTGTCCACCGGGGGCAGCTTTTGTTCTCGGTCACATTGTATGTATGTGATTCATGCTGTTAATAACCCATCCAGAGTTAACTAGACTCGCTGAGAAATTAAAGATTAAAACTGATTAAAACTTATTAAAACTGTAGCAACTACCTTGCTGCCTTATGAGGAAATTACATTCACTCTAGAAAAAACCCTGCCTGGCTTCCAAACTGCTATAAGTCCGAATAAGATCTGAAAAGCACAAGGGAGTTATAAAGAAAATATTAGTTCTGATTTTTTTTGCAAGAGGCTAGAAGAAACTTAGATTTGGCAGAGAGCAGAGGGGAATGGCACAGAAATTGTGTTCAAATATATCTAGACAAAATAATACACAAATTGATCTGATGGCTTTGTAACTTCAATAATGGGTATCACCTAGACTGAACACTTCTTAGAACATAGTAGACATTCAATATATACTTTCTAAATAACTATCTGCCTGACTAACTCACTGACTGAGTCAGACTTTAGAAATGTTGCCCTTCAGAACTCTGGGTAAAAACCAAGTTCAAAAATTATGACTCAACCTGGAGAACATATCAATTACTGCCAATTAATCAAGAAGTGGCAAGAGTGCAAAGTGTCACCTGATTAAAAATGAGTCAATACTAACTGTCAATAACAGAAAAAGACATGTAATAAAGCAAATGGGTTTGGGGGAGTTACTGGTACTTCTTCAGTTCATGGTAAGCATGATACATTTATTCTTCTCCTTTAAAAGACCAATTACATAAGACTGCATTACTTTCCATTCTCTGTGGTCCCAAATTAATCATTTTGCATGAGTAGCTTCTCAAAATCATATGCTAGTTTTCAGAAGAGAAACAAAAATTGACTAGAAACAGATTCTCTCTTTCATTTGTTACTCAAATTAGTTTGGTTCAATGCTGTTTAGCATATGCAGTAGGTTTAACCAGCGGAATCACGACTCTGCCAGGACCACCTCAATGACATTTCATGGTAGCTAACTAGAAGCTCTCTAGGACATGCCTAACACCAAGATACAGGGGGAAGAGGCTGGATGTGCCCAGAGATTCCAAAAACAATCTTGTTACAATCTTAGGTAAGCATCTCTTAGCATCTAATCTAACAGCTTAACTAAGAAATTATTAACATTCAGTTCACAGATATTTTCAGCACCTTCTATTTGGTGGAGTCAGTCCCTTTCAAACCACTGATTTTACACAGTCACAGAAATTTGTTATTGCGATTGTCTTCTCGGGACTGGGACAAATTATGCAAGAACATGACCTACAGGGTAACGGACAACATTTACTTGAATTCGTCTGGAAGTGTGTAAAGTCAGAAGGCATCACAGATAACCCAGTGAACTGAGGCACGTTGAAAGAACAATGGAGGGTGGCAGGAAGACCTGAATGATCACCTATGAAGAACCAAGATCGTAGTCATGAACAGCCGGAAAAAAATCCAAAGCAGAAAACAAGCAATGCTTTCGGAAGCTGGGGAAATGGAAATGGTGTGGCAGTGTGAAGGGAGGAATAATAGGGCGAAGGATCAGATCGAAGGCCAAAAATTCAGAACTCCAACAGGAACTGAAATCCCCTTTTACGTATGGGCTGGTGCAAGGAGAATATAGGACAACACAAAAGACTTAGATCATTAGAACCTTGCCCATCAAAATCCCTTGCCATTTCGCCAAATAGATGACTGTGGCAGATTTCCGGGGCATGTTTGCTTTGGGACCCTGGGACCCTGGGACCCTTAGATCTTAATTTTCTATATTTATTACTAGTCCTTCTCAGAGTTTAAAATGAGTAGCATCTCTTAAGAACCGAGGCCTACCACCTTTTTAAAAATCTACTACAATATTTTAATAGATCTAAGCAGAGAGGGATAAGTAATGTAACTTTGGTTAATACACTGGAAAGAGAAATCTGCACATCATTTTTGTTTTATTCTTCAGTTTTTCACTATCTTCTACTATATTTTAATATTTTGACTCGCATGTTATTTTACATCCGGAATGGGAGATCCTGTCAAGATGTGTCAGTAAGACCCAGTTAATTCATTCAATTGCTATTATTAAGACAACATTGTTCTATACTAAGCAACAATTTGAAAACTATAAGAAAATATGAATTTTGTAGAAAAATGTAATTTATAGATTTTTAAATATGATACTTTATCATAAGCCACCAAATTCAAAGAGCTTATTATGCAAAACATATTTCGAGAGTTTATCAAAGTTCTCAGATCTAGGACAATTGATCATCCCTTATTTTGGCTTATCACATTTACTCCTTTTTCCTGATAGATAAGGTAAAGGAAATAACCAAGAACCACAAGAGTACTGTAGCTGCCATGTCATCACGGAAAGAATCACACTCAGGAAGTTCAATTGATGTGACTATTTCAGTGGGCTTGGAGTTAGGATAGGAAGGAGAAGAACCAACAGACTTCTGCCCACTAAGGAATCAAGAGAAGAGGCAGAGAGACAATAGATCCACGCAACCCAGAGTCCCTTCCTAGCACTTGAGTTGAACCAAAGAGAAGCAGGAAGTAAGGGCAACAGTCAATCCCTTCATCTCCCCCTTTCTCAAAGTCCCTTTTCCTCAAACCTTTTTCTTTCCTCAAAGCTGAACCACACTTTCATGCACCACTAGTTTTATCTCCTTGTATCTTCATTGTTTCATTCACCGTGAACACTAACTCTGCTTTTTAAAATCCCTATCGAAATTCATTTTGTAAATGTCAATTCCAAGATTACTCCCAATATGAAAAAGTGAGGTGTCTTTTGTATTTAACTACAGTAGGGTGAGGAAATTACAGCGGTGCTGAAATATTAGAGAAAAGATGTTATTAGCCCTAGTCATGGCATACTGAGAAATACATAGGAAGGGGATGTATAACCAGCTACCAAAGAGTTACTTTATCATTACTTTCCTTTGCTCAAAAAACACAGACAAAGGTGACTTCATTACCACAAATATTTTTCTAGTCTTTTATTTCTCTGGCTTCAAATCCTCTTACTTGGCGTACTTACTGACCAGTCCGGGAAATGCAGAACAAGAGCTTGACAAGCTCAGCTTCTTCGATTTCTTTAGAAATAAGTTGTCAGAACTTGCCATTGTTGAGCTAGCCTCACCTGCCCAAACATCAACTTAAATAAACTAACAGTACCTGAAACAAAAGGAATTTCAACCATGAGTGTTAAATAAGCCCTGAAAATGGCAGACACTGATGTGTATTGTTGCTTAGTCTGAGCAAATATTGAAATGTTATTGTAAGCCTTCAGTTTAACTTTCATTGTGCATACCTGAGTGTCTCGTGTGGATGGGACAGAGCGGAGCCGGGGTAAAGGGGGCCCACACTCCTAAAAGCAGATGCTTTTCCTAATGGTGTGTTCTTACATTCACTACTCCTGCTCAGCCTGGTAATATACTTGAAAAAAAATTAAAATGCAAAAAAAATTAAAATGCCCAAACTTCTTTTGCTATCAGGTACTCCAAAAGCAATGTAAATTAGTGTCTGTTGTAAAGTTATGGAGAATGAGTTAAAGTCATTAATGTTAACACATTATTCACAAAATGTAATGCTTTTTCCAAAGTAGAAACTCAATCAATATAATGCAATAAATCAAACATGATTCAGTAGGGAAAGCGACCAGTTTCTAGTTCACTCTAAAGGGACTCGGGATAAGACAGCAGAACAGGTTACTGCTTAACACATTTTTCACATTTTTCACTAAAAATAGATAAAATGTCTAATTTCAGGCTCTGAACAGAATGTGTTTTAATGCAATTTCTTTGAAAATTTCTGTTTCTTGTGCACCTCTGAATATATACTCAATGTGAATTAATTATCACTGGTTCCTTAGCTTATATTTTAGTTACTGCAAAAAATAAAACCTGTCCCGTTTGTCTCTTTACCAGAAAAGAGAAGGTAATACCTATATCATTAGCATGGTCTATGGCCCTAGAATCAATGTGACATGTGGAAAGTTTTTCTGTAAGACTGAGTTACAAAGAACCATGATGTCTTATGTGATTGTACCTCTGAGATCTGCGATAACATTTGCTCAGTTTCTTTTGTTTTTCCTGTTAACATCTTCATTTCAGTGTTGCTGATAATTTTCTATTATTTCACCCTTCTTTATGTTTCTCGTGTATTTCCCTTTCAGTTAGTCCCGTCGAATTAACTGAAGAATAAAACTATATAATATAGTCTTATTATAAGCAGAAGAAAATGAAGATGATCTGATGAGATACATCACTGAAGGTTAATAGCTTTTTTAAAATCAATCTTCCTTCAAAGGAAAAGGCTAAATGGCTTAGTGGATGAAATGCTAGCCTCTCACCTCTGAGACCACAGTTCAAATCTAAACTGTGAAGCCTTAAGCAACATCTTTGCTGGGCAGCTATCAGTCTCTAGTGGACACAAATCTGCACTGCATGAGTCTGAGACCACTGCAATAACCCCCCCCCCCACCCCCCACCATCCCTGTCAGCGGGCCTGATGTGTTTCTTGTTTCCAGTCCATCTTGTCCCTTAGGAAATGGTCCAGGTAGGAGTTAACATCACTGTCAGGAAACTGTGAGTGTTTTCAGAGCAGCTTCCTCAAATAGCACCAGTGCTGTGAAGTCACTGGAGGCTGCTACTTCCCGGTTCTGACCCTCAGCTGTCACCCAAATAACCTGACCTTCCCCTCCTATAAACAGAGTGACACCTTTTCCTGTCAATTAACAAACTAGGACAAACAGAATTGATCACTTGGCTATTCCAGACTGGCTAAGGACTCACTTACCAGGTAGTGGTTACTCAGGTAGAGGGCAAACTGCAGTAATTAAAATAAAAATAAAAACATCCAAATAAAATAGGGAGGCAAAAATGCACACATATATAAATTCATACATAAACATGGATATACCTACACCCATACATACACTCATATATAAATGTGTATATACCTAAAAGAGTGTGTAGCATGTTTTAACAAATCTAAGTTTGAGCCATCGTTTGGTCGCATGGGTAATCCTCCATTGCTGGCTATTTAAAGAGCTTCTTTGTGTTTACTCCTCAGTAATATGTTATCAGCATCCTTCAGTAATGTACTGCACTACATTTTGAGTCTCCAAAAGAGATATACAAAGTGTTTGCAGAACACACACGTGGCACAAATAGCTATTATTTAAGGAGATTGCAGTCAGCTCAATTTTATGGGCAAAGATGTGTACATATAATAATCCTACTGTAGTGTCCAACTAAAATCAGCACTTTATTTCACTGTTTTATGATGAAATATGTTTTGTCGGTGCATTTTATGCATTTTGCAATAACCCACTTTAAAATAGAAGCAATGTCTAATTTGGAACAATTTGGACAGGAGATGATATTTGCATACAATGAAATGTGTAAGAAAAGTTTAAGAATAAAATCAATAATATTAAAATGTTGATGCATCTATGACATTTCCATGTTCCTCTAAAATGATTTATTAGTGATTGTTGTTTACTGCTAATTCAAACCACCTGCAAATCTCTTTGTTATGATTAAAGCTGGCTTTCTTCCCCCAGGCTGATAGATGGCTCTGTAATTTTGGAGGAAATATGCTAAAGGTCATGAGTTAATACATCCTCTGGTACTTTCTCTTCCCATCCTTGCTTTCCCAAATGGGAGGAAAGCTGTGTTGTATTATTTCCATGTCTTTGTAACGTCCATTCAAAATGAAATTAGAGAGTGCATTAGAAAGAGAGTATCTGTGTGTACACACAGCAAAATCCACATGTATTCT
Source organism: Homo sapiens (assembly GCF_000001405.40). Lineage (NCBI taxonomy): Eukaryota > Metazoa > Chordata > Mammalia > Primates > Hominidae > Homo > Homo sapiens. Next base: position 37,795,340 of record NC_000015.10, read on the forward strand.
GTATAGTCTATTACTAAAATTATACAATTGCCTTTTGAGAAATTTTAACAAAAAAATCTTTCCTTAATAATCTATGAATATCACTGTCTGATTCAAGTATTATTATCCCTTTTAAAATTAAGCTATCCACAAAACATGCATTTACTTTCCGCTATACAAAATGCTAATAATGCTTTTAGAATGGTCTTTAAAAAGTCTAATTATATCATTTAAAAACTGAGAGACCAAAGGGCAAGCTAAATTCTCCTAACATAAATCAGACTTTTTTTATTTCAATGACTTTAAAAACCTCAAATGCAGTAATTTTAATAGCAATGAAAGAATGAATAAGTCATAACTCCGCCTGATCACATAACTGTCTATAACTGTTATTAAATGCTCCAAAATAAGTGAACTCATTATGTTTCTGCACTGCTTTTAGCTAATCTAAGATTCTGCTCACTTAATCATGCAGAAAAGCCTTCAGTGCAGTTTTAGACCCTCAGCAAGGTCGCTTCAATGCCTTTTTTCTGTTCTATACTGATCATTTAAGAACAGCACTTTGACCTGAAACTGATGCTGTCTCATATAAGCTTGAATGTTTAACCCCCACAGAGCTGCATTTTAGGTATACGTTTGCACAGCCTATTGTCATATTTGCTGCAAACTGAACTAGGTTCACTTTTCAACAGTAAAGGAAATGCCAATCAGAATTTGTAAATGCCATGTGCCCAGTGAAACTACCTCTCATATGATACAGACACAGAATTCATGATTTTAAAAATACACTATTTTGTCTGTGAATGGTTTATTAAGTTCTAATTGGCTTTTAGGTGTGGTGACTAAGTATTTTTTTTACTGTTTTGCCAGACCATATGTAAATTTAAAGTGGAGAATTTATCTAGCAAAGCAATTCTTTTGGACACAGGTTGAGGTTTTCCATGCAGTTAAGGAGACCATGAGAGAAAGTAAGGTTCTGGTCCTTTGCCAATTGTCCTTTGAAACAAAGGCCGATTTCAAACTTGAATAATATTCCTGCATGTCCGTTAAGTCACAATATTAAAATAGATAGTATAGCAAGGGTCCTAACAATTGTTCTAGAATGTGGAGAGAGGGTTTCCTGTTGTTGCAAAAGGAATCTGCATGTGAAAAGAACTCAAGTGAAGCAGTCCTAAGTGTAGATAAGAAGCAAAGGACAACAGTGAAAACTCAAAATTGAAGCAAGAAAAGGAACATATGATAAGAAGTTAAAGAGAGAGCAACAAGGAAGAGGAGAAGGAGGAGGAAGAAGAGGCAAAGACAGAGGTAAAGAAGAGGGAAGAGAACAAAGGGAAGGAGAGGAAAAATCCACAGATGAGTAAGATCCAAACAACAGGTTTGTTTGTTTGTTTGTTTGTTTTTAAAGGATAATTTACATCTGGAAAATAGACAAATCAAAAGGCATTTTGACAACTTGTAGAATCTCCCAGAAGACTCCCAAAAAGGGACAGACACCCTTTGAATCTTGACCTTGAGGCAGGTTGCTGGACGGGGTGGCTTCTTAGAAGTTATCCCCCGGGCCTGACTTCCAAGTGGCATACACTTCAGTTCAGTACACTCCCACCTGCTGAAGGATCTAGTGCAGGACTCAGCTTGTATCCCCAGTCCTGACAATTTTGAAGGACCATTTCTCAGATTAGAAAGCCAGGAATTGAATTCCAACCCTGAATCTTACTCATAGCATATTTAATATTTTTTCTGTATCATTTGGAAGCACATACAGCATGGCAACAGAGATGTCAAATGAAAATGTACATGGAATAAACACTGAAACACAGAAAGTGGGATATAACTATGTTCCAAACACTTTCAAAGCTAGGTACGTAACATCTGTTAACAATGTCAGCTTTGTATTTTTGCTCAACTAATTGTGTTCACTTGGGTTTGTAGTAGGCTTTGATTGTGAGATCCCACCTTTGATAAAATCTAACTCTATTGGCACACATGTAACTAACATGTAATCAAACTCTGTGAAGCAACCACAGTAAGTAATTCACTGTGTGAGATGTCAAGATGGGGCAATTGCAACAGGAATAAGACAGCATCCTTGTTCTTGAGGAATATGGAATATATTAGAAGCCAGAGCACTCCTCTTGGAGTCAGGACATCAGTGTTCTTTTATTGGTTTATATTCTGACACCAACTAGTGTGCTGCAATTCAATTATGGCTCTAACCACCTGGAATTATTGCAGACTCCACAAGGTAAGGGTTCAGTCCTCCAAGAACTACCCTCACTTCAGAGGCCAGCCACACTTCAGGGATCCTGAGGCTACCAAAACTTCTGACCAACTGGCTACAAATTCCAAGTGTAGCTGGTTGTTCCTACAACTACCTCAGATTCAATAATTTGCTAGAATGACTTTTAGAATTCAGGAAGCCACTGTACTTAGAATTACAGCTTAATTATCAATACCAATCGGGACCAGCCAAATGAAGAGACACAGCATAGAATAAGGTCTGGAAGGGTCTTGAATGCAGCATTTTCATGCCTTCCACCTGTGTGATTAGGATGTGTCATCATCCTAGCACATCAATGTTTTCATCAACCAGGAAACTTCACTGAACCTCAGGGTCCACAGTTTTTACTGAAGTACTATTACGTAGGCATGCTTGATTGAATCATTGGCCAGATGACTGAACTCAATCTCCAGCCTCCTTCCCCTCTCAAAGGGTGGGAAGCCTAGCCTATATCAAGTGATGCAAAGCCCAATCCTCTAATCACGTGGTTAATCTTTCCAGCTTGATCACCCCTCATCCTGGGGCTATCTACGGGCCCATGATGAGTCCCCTGATTAGTATAAACTATCAGGTGTACTCCAAGGGGATTGTGAATAACAAAGATATTCCTTTTACTAGGAAAGTTTTAAGGATGTAGAGCAAGCTTGTCCAGTTCACAGCCCTCAGGCCACATGAAGCCCAGGACAGCTTTGAATGTGGCCCAACACAAATTTGTAAACTTTCTTAAAACATTATGAGTTTTTTTTGCTATTTTTTTAGCTCATCAGCTATTGTTAGTGTATTTTATCTGCAGCCCAAGACAATTCTTCTTCTTCCAATGTGGCCCAGGAAAGGCAAAAGATTGGACACCCCGATCTCTCTCCCAGATATCATGGACAAAGGCCAATCAAATTCTTTATTGCATAAAATTTCATTTGTTTATTCATGAATGAATTTATAAAGCACCTACTTGACGAGGAGCCCTGGTAGTCACTAACAGGAACAACCAAATGTATTTGACATGACCTGTACTCTCTAAGAACTCCTAACACATCTTGTAAGATAAATCATATACAAATAGTAACAAGAAGGGGATAAAGATTGTTTATGGGTAATTGTTCTCTTTACTTATTCATTACTTACTCACAAAATAACTACAAACAAATCACAAATCTAAGTCAAGGGGATAATCTAAAAAGCTCCTTGAGTTTCTTAGAGAAAGTGTCTAGATACTAGTATTAGGACCATGACAGCTTTGCAAACCTGGTACTTACATAGCAGCCATGATGATGGCCTGGCATGTGTTTTTAAATCTTTGGAGCTGCTTTGTTACCTTCTTTGTGTCCCATTCTTATCTTCTCCTAATCATGCCCTTACATTGTCCCATTAACTTTCATGTCCCTAAAATGACTCTGTTGCCCTAGCTTGCCCTTCCTGACCTAGTTATTCCTTGAAATTAACTTTAATCAACAAATACTAATATTGAAAACCTACTCAGTAAAAAGACAACGAATTTATATATCAAAACTTTTCTTTCCTGAAGGTCATCCTCTCTTGGAGTTTCCTAAAAATTCAATTGCTAAAGCTGTGATATTGGTACAATATGAATAGGTGATAGTGATTTGAAAGACGGTCAGTACCAAACCAGTGGTACCTTCTAAGAGTGGTCCTCAATGCTTTAAATCTGAGTTTCTCAAAGTTTTGTGGAACCTGGATAGCTCAGTGAGATGTTTCTTGAGCAAAGAGCTTCCCATGGTAAAGAAAAAAAAAAAGACGGGGAGGTGGGGAATCATGCCTATATGTCCTTTAAGATGAGTATGAGTATTTCACAATCCTACTGTAGAAGATATGTTTAACTATTTTTTTTTTTTTTTTGAGATGGAGTCTCACTCTGTTGCCCAGGCTGGAGTGCAGTGGTGCGATCTCGGCTCACGGCAAGCTCCGTCGCCTGGGTTCACGCCATTCTCCTGCCTCAGCCTCCCACGTAGCTGGTACTACAGGCACCCGCCACCACACCTGGCTAATTTTTTGTATTTTTTAGTAGAGACGGGATTTCACCGTGTTAGCCAGGATGGTCTCGATCTCCTGACCTCGTGATCCGCTCACCTTGGCCTCCCAAAGTGCTGGAATTACAGGTGTGAGCCACCGCACCCGGCCGATATGTTTAACTATTTAACCCAGTGTTTTCTAAACTTATTTAGACATGATCGTCTCTTGCAAAATACTTTCAGAAGCCTGCTTTGGGAAAAGCCTGTTCGGGAAAAGCCTGCTTTAATTGAAAATAATTTTACCTCTTCTGTCAGATCCTTGAAAGAAGGCTATTTGGAAGTGTAGGTATTCTATATTAAACTACATATAAAATAATAAAGCAAAAATCAATATGAGGGAGAATTCATACTATTCCTTAGGAAGATCTAAATATGATTAATAATTAAAGTGCTGTCCAGCAATAATCAGTTTGATGCATCTGTGAGGATAATCCTATTCATGAAGCATTATTATTAGTGTTTATTACTATTGCTACTAGAAATAAGCATTTTTATATACTATAAGATGTTCGCAGTTAGCAGAAAAACACATTCAGAAGGAAAAAAAACCAGTATCATCTCATAATTACCCCACCCTGTATTTGCTTATTTTCATGTCTTCAAATATATCTTCTATTTAAATCTGATTAAAGCTATAGCTGGGAATGTGCCAGATGTGTCTGCCAGTTCCATTGGAAACATAGCCAAGCCTCAGATATAGTCCCTGTCCTCATGGAGCTCACGGTATAAGGGAGGAAAAGTGACCCATAGATACATAATGTCCATACTGCATGAGAAGAAATGCTTTAGAGACAAAACAGAAGGAGAAAGAACAATGGAAGAATTATAGTCTACATAAAGAAATCATCATGAACAAAAAAAGCAAAGGAGAAAAACTGCTGGATCAATGCAGGAAACTGCCCTAGAGGCACTGGCGATCAACAATGGAGACAGGTCAACCTGGAGATGTCATCATGGGTCAGTTCATGAAAGGGCTGACATGTCACGCTGAAGAGCTGTTTCTCTATTCTCAGGACCCAGGTCTCCAAAGGGGTGTGCAATTATCCTTTGGAGATTAGGAAGAAAGCAGAATGCCTGATTATATTTTTATTTTGTTCTTTTAAAATAGGTTTGTTTTTATAAAGTAACTACTATGCTAGTACTTTCTATGTGCATATTATTTACAACTAAATAAATAGACATAGTGGAGTGGAGGAATTCTCAAACTTTGCTTTACAATGGGAGTGTGATCAAACTGAAGACCATTTTCTATGCAATAGGGAGTTATAGAGAGTTTTAAATAGAAGAGTTAATCACTTAGATTCACATTTTCAATAAGTCAAAATTTATTTTAGGAATTCACTGGAGCCTTTCTCATCTGCTATTTGCTATGAAACAATATTTACTGTAAAGGGTACCACCTGCATCTGCATCCTCAGTACCATTGGTAAGTGAACTTTCCAAATAGAGATCTTATTATGTAATTTCCTTGTTTAAAATCCTTCAATAGATCCCCACTGCCTCTAGGAGAAAATTTAAATTCCTTAGAAGAAAGTGTTCTGTTCTCTCTCATATCTGAGCTTGCATGCTCGCCACACTTTAGGGATGAAGATGGGTAAATCTTTATTTTGTATGCCCTTTGCCCTTGTTCTATAATTATCCCTTACAGTAAGTTGAACTCCTGAGAGAAGAGAAAATGAGCACAAACAGTAATGATCAGGTGTTTAGTGCCTCCTCCCACAAACTCCAGTCCCCACTCCCCGGCAGGCATACTCAGAGCCCACAGGGAGGGGAAGCTCACAGCCTGGGGGAAGAACAGAAGGCAGCAAAAGCACGTTTGGCCTTTCTGAAGATTTGAGTGGGGACGTTCATACCTCCAAAGGTTGTTCAGACTCTTACTGGGCTTCTGAGCCAAGCTGGCTTGCCTGGTCACCAGTAGCAGAAGCAGGCCTTCTATGCTTTCAAAAAACAGCCATCTGTTGAGGTTTATTTCAGGTAGCAGCCCTAGTTGTCAGGACTCTCATACCCAGTTTACTGTCACTAGCGTCCTCTCTGGGATAAAGTAATGGGCTTTCTGATGACCAGTTGCTTGAGCACTCAGGCCTGGCTGTTGAGCCTAAGCTGTGGCAATTCTGATTAGGCTAAGCAAGAGGGTGCACGTGGTCATTTGAAGGCTTTGTCTAAACAGTGGTAGATCTTAACAGCTGGTGTTTAACAACTCTCCCCATTGCCATATTAATGATTGACAAAGGTGAGCTTATATCCGTCTTCTAGATATTCTAACTCTGATTTTTTTGCATTATCAAATTATTCATAATTTTGGACTTCATTCAGATGTGTAAACAATATTTCCACAACCCAACAAAGCAAGCACTGGACCCATGATGTGATCTCCTTTCCTTTGCACTGCTTCCAGAGTCACAACCATCTATCTTTTTGTTTTTGCTTTTTATTTTTTAAACTTTCTTTCAGCATAACTCTCAGAAAAAATAAAAACAATCTGACATCTCATCCCTGTACACACATCAATACAAATAATTTAAACAGAAGTTTCATGAAATAAAAACCCCTTATTACATGCAATGCTTTCGGATATTTTCTTTCCTTTTCTTTTTTTTTTTTTTCTTGTAGAAATGAAGCAACTGACTAAATTAACCAATGGCTCTGACCTGCAGTTTGAAAATATGGCATAGGGTGAAATCTGTGGGTAAGATCCTGGGCCCCAGGGTGGGTGAGTATGGTAAAGACTAAGACTCCTGGCACTGAGAAAATTGGGAACTGCAAGACTCCAGTATTGCACGATCATTCATTGTGGTATCTAGGTTCCCGGGGTCGTGGTAGGACCTACGGATCAGGGAAAGGTTGGAATCCATAAGTCCAAATCATCTGTGAATATAGGGGAGTCATTGGCAGGTCAGTGGGTGGCTAAAAGGAGACAGGAGAAAGAGGAGGTTGGAATAAACCTCAAAGGTTGTGTTTTTCTTTGTTTTTTTAAATTTTTTGAGACAGTCTTGCTCAGTTGCCCAGGCGGGAGTGCAGTGGCCTGATCTCTGCTCACTGCAACCTCTGCCTCCTGAGTTCAAGTGATTCTCCTGCCTCAGCCTCCCAAGTAGCTGGGATTACAGGCATGTGCCACCACACCTGGCTAATTTTTGATCAGTGGTACTCAAAGTGTAGTCCCTGGAGTAGCAGCAGCAGTATCACCTGGAACTTTGTTAGGATAAGAAATACAAACTCTCAAGCTCCACCTCCTACATACTGAATCAGAAACTCTGTGGAGTAGGCCCAGCAATCAGTGTTTGAGTGTACCCTCCCATGATCCTGATGATGCACACCAGCATCTTCATTCTAGAGATATGATCGCTTTGGCCTGTTTTCAGCTACCTGAAAGAACCACTTCTCAAGCTCAATTCTCCATTCAAATTATTTCACTGGAACACATTGTCTATTCCATGTGGTGTATATGCTTTAACTGAGTACTACAGGTGCTTGAATAAAAGGTGCAAATGAATCATGTTGAAGAGTAAACCTAAAAAGAAAATGACCAAAACTGGGACCATCTGCCCCTGCTGCCACCCCCATAGGATACATGCACAGGCTGTTTTTAGCAAGACAGGTTTTCCTCTTACTGTGACACCATGCATGGTATCCAAACAGTACAACTGTGTATTCAAACACAGAAGCTCCAATGACTAAAGATACAAATGATATTAATTTACATAGTAAGCGATATGTTTTAAAACATATGTTGGGCTTAAAATAATTGATATTGGTAAAAAATATTGAGATGCTTACAGAAAGGATTCAAGGATATAATGATATTAATACCGTCTGTGCAGTAGCCATCATAGATGAATCAGCAATGCACTTTTTTTATTTTTTTAAATTCTATAATGGATGCTTCTGAACAACACTGTAATTTCCATGAAAATGCTCTTGAAATTTACTATCATATTTTAACTACATTAATTCCTTATCGTTTTCTTCTATGTTTTCCCCCTCCTTTTTCCTGGAAGGTAGTAAAACCATGAATCATGTTTTTCAGATCATTTTTATCTCTTCAAAGTGCATTGTTGGGCTGTATGTTTTTCTAAATATATTACCATTACTGATATATTTCATTATTTTGCTTGATATTCTACTTAAATAGTATTTATCTTTAAAATGATACACACAAAAGTTGCTATTCCCCAAAGTATTTTGAGCCCAAATCATTTCACAGATCAAATGCATTCAACTCTTGGCTCATTGCTTGAATTTCCTGTGTCTATTGAGAATTACTATGAGGCTTTGCAGTTTTGCTCCTACAAAACTGTTAAAAGAAGAAGAGATGTTAAGAGACTTAATTAATTTTTTTCCTCTGTAAAAGAATTCTAGAGCCTTGGAAATCAGGGACTAAATAAGGAACAAATATTGTAAACAGAGAATTAAAATAAATATTAAAATAAAGACAAGGAAGATAGATGAAATTAATCTATGCTAGTGGAAGCCAAACAGTACCCTTAGTGGAGGTAGGTAGTGACTGGAAGGGAACACGAGTGTGCTTCTAGGGAACTGGTAATGTGCTTTTTCCTGATCCAAGTGATGGATGCATAGTGGTAGAGTCTGTGAAAATCAGCACTTATGATTTGTGCACTTTTCTGAAATACATTTCAATAAGACTTCAATAATTCAGTAAAAACTGTTAATGATCCTTTAATAAAAGTTATAAATAATAAAGGTAGATGTGTACGTAGCTGTATTTTAATATTCAAACTAGCTTCTGCTAAATAATGTGCTTCCAACACATATGGCCAAAGGTAAGGCACGAGATCACTTACATTTTAAAAAATAAACAATAGAAAATAAACTAGCAAAAATAGGCTGAGGCAATCATGTATTCCTGCTTCTAGTAAAAGCTTCCTCTGTATTTACTCAGTGCCTGGCTCTGTTCTAGGGCTGCCGGTACAGAGGAGCAAGCCCTTACCTGGGAGTAACTGGCATTGTACTGGGGGAGGCCAGACAACTCTCAAGTAAAACATAAATCTATGCTATAACATCAGGGAGTAATGAGCGCTGGAGAAAAAACAAGGTAGGGTGAGGGAGTAGAGTGAAGCAGTAGGGTTAGGATAATTGGGTAAGTCCTATTGAAAGAAGGTGACATTTGAATAGAGACCAGAAAGCAGTGATGGAGCAAGCCCAGCATAGATCTACAGAAAAGTGTTCCAGGCACATCAAGGCAAATGCAAAGATGTGGATGTTTGCTCAAGCTGCTGAAATTTCATGAAGGCCAGAATGGGTAAAGTAGAGTTGGCTGGGTAAGTAGTAGTTGATGAGTGGCCAAATTAAGCAGGCAGGGAAGATCATCATCAAAAGATTAGATTTTATTTATAGTGTGCTGGGAAGCCGTTGGAGAATTTTGATCAGAGGAGCAGCATGATGTAATTAGAAGACAGAGGTTTAGATTCTGCTCCCAAGACTGTAATGATATATAATTAAGGTTTAAAGTAATATATATCTCATCATGTTTATATAAATCCTTGTGATTTAATTGATTTCTTGTTATTTGACCATTTTTAGTTAGCTTGCTGAAGGAACAGAAGGTTTTTGAGTCTTAAGTTCAAATGTCACCTCTGCTAAATCCTAAATTTTTAACCTTGGGCATGTTTCCTAACCTTATCCAAAATGAAAATAAAAGCATTTGGCACATAGTAGATGCTCAACAAAGGGCAATTAGTGCATTTTTTAAAGATGTAGAAAAATTCAGAAAGAAGGACATTCTAAAGAATACTCTTTTTGTTAATAAATTATGTCCTATGAAAGGAAAGGGTCACAGAAATCTCTAGAAATCTGTAACTAGGTCAATTCATACAGCTGTTTCTTGAGATGTACAGCAAATAGTTATGATATTCTGATCCTGCCAGGGACATGGCTATTATATTCACTGGAAAAATAAAATAAAGTCTTCAGAGAAATCAAGGTTTCTATTTTAGCTCCTGAAAAAAAAATTCTAACTATTTGGAAAATAAGAAGTCTATCTTGAAAAACTAGAGGTAGCCTAGTTGTCCTTCACAAGGAGAATGATTAAATAAATCATGGAACTTTTATGCCTACTGTAGAATAATGTGAAGTGGTTAAAAGTACCAAGTATGTTTAGTGAACACATAAAAACAAATTGCAGAATTATATAAATCATGTAAAACTGTTTAAGTAATAATTTTTCTATATGCATCTAAAGAGATATTTTGAAAAAATGTTTATGATATATTGAGTGGTAAAAAATATATGTCAAAATAGTATGGCAAGATCCCTTCGTGGGAGTATGTGTTCATGGGTCAAAATAAGCAAACAAACAAATTCCAGAAAACAATATAGAAGAATCAATATGGAAAAAGAGAAGGCTTTTCACTTTTCAACTTTTATACTTCTATGCTGTTTGAATACTTTTAAACATGTGTTTAAAATACAAAACAACAAATCTTCATAAATTTTAAGTACATGCTTAAGAAAAACAAGGCTTATATAACTAGAGTTAAGAATCTGAATCAATTGAAATAATAAAAATAACAACAGTATTTCAATATTCATTAAACACAAACTATGTGCCAGGCACCATGCTATTTTACACGCATAATGTCATTTATTTCACAATAACATTCTGAAGTGGATACTATTCTATAGACATGGAGACTGCACGATAGGGCTCTAAATAACTTGCTTAGACTCACAAGGCAGAGCCTGAATTCTATCCAGGTCCAACTGCTTCCAAAAAATATTCTTTAACCATTACCCAGCTGCTTCCAAACATAATGGAGGTAAAACTAACTTTACAGGATCATTACAATTGCAAGTTCTCTGCCTGCCTAGCCTACTGGATGATCTATACCCATATTGGTAATAATTGATTCATTTTAGGTACCGGTATAAAATTGTGACCAGAAACTTTGTCACCAGAGTTACTATCATATCAAGCTGTAACCTTGTGGAAGGTAAGGATTGTATATTATAGGAATAGATTTAAATATTTCAGGTATGATATGGTTTGGCTGTGTCCCCACCTAAATCTTATCTTGAATTCCCATGTGTTGTGGGAGGGACCTGGTGGGAGGTAATTGAATCATGGGGCAGGTCTTTCCCATGCTGTTCTTTTGATAGTGAATAAGTCTCAGGAGATCTGATGGTTTTAAAAAGAGGAGTTACTCTGCACAAGCCTCTCTTCTCTTTTCTGCTGCCATGTGAGATGTGCCTTTCATCTTCTGCTATGATTGTGAGGCCTCCCCAGACATGTGGATCTGTAAGTCCATTAAACCTCTTTTTCTTCCCAGTCTCGGGTATGTCCTTATCAGCAGCATGAAAACAGACTAATACAAGGTGATTACAATGTTGCTGAAATAAGATGTCCATATTAAAAATTGCTGATTAAGAATAAATGCAATTCATCATATTTAGTTTATACTACAATTCAACATTTTTACCAAACTAAGTGCAGTTTTTGTTTCAACTTTACTGTTTAGTTGTCATTTGGAACTTGTCACTTTGTGTTCTATGACAAGTCTTAGGGTATTTTACTGAATTAGAGCAATAAAATACCTTTGGTATGCTCAGTGATTCAGATTCAAAATGGTGGCCAGAAACAGTTTTGAGTAGGTACTTCGGTATTTTTAAGAGATTGCCATGCCATGTAGTAGAGAATACAGAAAAAGAAAATGTCTCTGATGAAAAGGAAAGTTAACACTTACATCTGAAAACCGTCTCCTTACCATGTTGCTTGACAAGTGATGTGGATAATTTTATCCCCTAGTGAGGTTTACAATTTGCAGAACTAGTACTTATGTTGACCTCATCAGCACCAAGTGAAAAAAAGTAAACATTACCTAAATATCATGCCTAAGATGGAAATAATCCATGTGGCAAATGGGTTCCATTTTGTATCCAGAGGCTGTTTTTTTTTTAAATTTTTTTTTTCCCTGAAGATTCTCTCCACAGGAGCTTGACTGGTTCCTGGGATCCTCTTTGTAGTTAGAAATCCATTTTTTCCCATTGGTATAAACTTTTTCCCATCATATTCCAAAACACTGGTTAAGTCATAATTCGTTGACTGGGAGGAAGGCAGAGTAGGCAATAATGTATCAGACATTGTGTGAAGTATGAAATCCATTTTGTAAATGTGTGTATGTGTTCCAAAGGAGAAATAAATAAGCCATAAATCTCATATCTTAAAAAACAGATCCTATACATAGCAAGGTAATTACATTTAACATAGAGTCTTCGTCATAAAAATTACTTAGGAGGTTCATGGGAACAGTGAACTCCAGTTTAACTTTCATGGTTTCATTCTTGTCTGACCCAACTGTTCTGGCCACTACCACATCTACCTTGCAGGTCAAGGAAGATACCACATACCTCAAAATGGTCAGTGCATCACCTTCCATTCAGTGACAGCACCTGAGCTGACTGTAACATGATCCAGTTGACCTAATATGGTCTCTCTTTCTTCTAATTAATAAAAACAGAAAGCTTTTGCATTATCTTTTCATTGTTAAGAGAAATATATTGGGAGTATTTTTACATGTGAGTGTGTGCACATGTGTGTGTGAACTGTCAGGTAAACATAATACACACCATGTTAATATTAATTACTTATCTAAGTGTCACCAACTGTATCCTCTTTTTTACATAATAGAATCATTATTATATTTGTTTTTGTTTCTCATGTTGTAAAATACTGAGACAGACAGATGCTGCCACATTCTCATTGGGTTCATACCAGTATTTTCCTCAGACTACTCACGATCCTGTCTTAGGACCTAAGTCACCCACCTCTCTTAAACCAGTAGAGCTACAGAAAATCATGGGAGGTTGCTGATCATCTAACAAAGTGGTTCTCAAACTTTCAGGAACAAACTAGCAAGTTTCTGGGGACCCACAGCCTGGATCTGTGCTGACAATAATCATATGCAGCTGTTGAACACTTAAGTGTGGCTAGAATAGCTAAGGGACTAAATTTTTAACATTATATTTAAATGGCCACATGTGGCTAGTGGCTATCATAAAGAACAGCATAGACATGAATGATTTTCATCATTCCAAAAAGTGACACCCTGGAAATTTAAATTCAGCAAGTACAGCATGTGGCCTTAGAATCTATATTTTGGATACAGAAGTAGAGTCAAGATTTGAGAACCACAGAAATACATGGTGGAGAAGTAGAAAGAGAATTGGAAGAAATTGGAAAGGCAGTTGAAAATTAGGTATAAGAATTTTATGGCCGGGCGCGGTGGCTCACGCCTGTAATCCCAGCACTTTGGGAGGCCGAGGCGGGCGGATCATAAGGTCAGGAGATCAAGACCATCCTAGCTAACACGGTGAAACCCCGTCTCTACTAAAAATACAAAAAATTAGCCGGGCGTGGTGGCGGGCACCTGTAGTCCCAGCTACTCGGGAGGCTGAGGCAGGAGAATGGCGTGAACCCCAGTGGGCGGAGCCTGCAGTGAGCCGAGATTGCGCCACTGCACTCCAGCCTGGGCGACAGCGAGACTCCGTCTCAAAAAAAAAAAAAAAAAAAAAAAAAAAAAAAAAAAAAAGAATTTTATTTGTGGGCTAGGTGCAGTGGCTCAAGCCAGTAATCCCACCACTTTGGGAGACTGAGGCAGGAAGATCATAAGGTCAGGAGTTCGAGACCAGCCTGACCAACATGGTGAAACCCTGTCTCTACTAAAAATACAAAAATTAGCTGAGCGTGGTGGTGCATGCCTGTAATCCCAGCTACTCAGGAGGCTGAGGCAGGATAATTGCTTGAACCCAGGAGGCGGAGGTTGCAGTGAGCTAAGATTGCACCACTGCACTCCAGCCTGGGTGACAGAGCGAGACACCATCTCAAAAAAAAAAAAAAAATCATATTTGCGCCAAGGGGACCAGGGTGAAATCTATACAGAAAGACTATTTCTCAAAATAGCCTAAGGGACTGTAGCCCCACAGACAGGAGCCAAGGCTGTGAATAGGCAAATCAAAAGCACAAAACGATTACAAAAATAAGATTAAGAACCAGGATCCCATAATATGAGTTATTCTGAAGCAGGGGAGCATCAGATGCAAAGACTGGATACATCTTGCAGTTCAGTGCAAGCTCTGTGAAGCATGAAGCAACCATGTTATTTGATGTTTTGTCACAGAAGCAGGAGGAGCAACTTGAATGAGCCATGCAAGGTGGGCTACAGGAGAAAGGAAAAGAGGAGAATTTAAGTGAAATATAAAGCAGTACATATATAGTAAAGAGAAGACCACTAACAATGATTTGAGGTGCCACTTAATGCTACAAGGACCCATTGCTTGTCTACCTTAGTCTTAGAATTTAGCCAAGGAGATTCTCTTGCTATGTATTGTATCAACTAAATATTTGTTATTTCATGGACCTGTAATCTTTATTTTATATTATATTGCCTTATTATTTTGCTCTTCAATATAAAAATCTATCTTTCAGCCTAGCAAAAAGTATATATAGTAATAGCTTTTCATAGTCACTACATATTGCAAAAAGGACTACACAAAAGAGCCATAGTATCCTTAACCTACTTGGAAACTGCCCTGATCTCTTCTTCCCTACATGTTTTCTTTACTCAGATATGAAAATGAGATCGATATATGTAATTAGAGACATAAAAACTGGCAGATGCTAAGGACTACTGTTTCTAGAATTGTAACAGGTCAATGTGTAACTTTGTCTATCAACTTCTAAATAATATTAAATACCTGCACCAGGATGAAGTATTAGTGTCTCCACAATATATTTTTATTAACAAATACAAATGAAAAACTACAAAAATGGTCACTCTTGTTGCCTTTTGAGCTAGTCAATGAATTGTCCATCTAGCCCAGTAGGTGTATGCAGTAGATGTGCAAAAAGTATTTGATGGATGAGTGACTGAGTAAAATGAATGAATTTACTCCCTAGAGTATTGATTAGTGGTTATCAACCAAGAGATGTAACCCAGAGCCACCTGGGAGTTTATTTTTGTCATTTGGTTGTTTAAACTGTGTATACTCAACTCTCAAATTGTTGTACAACTTGAAGAGTAAAGGGAAGTGAGAAATGAGTTAGGATTAACAAGGGTACAATGTGTATTTTGAAAATTTTCCTGGGTCACTCTGTTAAGTCCTATTCTCCCCACTACTTATCCTTGTTGGGAAACACTGTTGTACACAGTTAGTAAACTGATATGCAGTAGTAGTAATAAACATAGTAATAATACTGCTCATAAAATTTGATCTTACTTATAATAATGTCTTTTATTTATAGATTTGTCAAAAGACCTTTGCTTATATCATCTCACTGAAAAATCACAAAAGCTTCAATGACCAGCCAGGTGCAGTGGCTCACGTCTGTAATCCCAGCACTTTGGGAGGCCAAGGTGGGCAGATCTCTGAGGTTGAGAGTTCGAGACCAGCCTGGCCAACACAGTGAAATCCTATCTCTACTAAAAATAGGAAAAAAATTAGCTGGGCATGGTGGCTAATGCCTGTAACCCCAGCTACTCAGGAGGCTGAGATAGGAGGATGGTTTGAACCCAGGAGGCAGAGATTGCAGTGAGCTGAGATCACGCCACTGCACTCCAGCCTGGGTGACAGAGCAAGACTCTGTCTCAAAAAAAAAAAAAAAAAGCCTCAATGACAGGATTAACATGATAGGTATGCAAAGTTGTTGATGTTTATTGTTTCCACAGGAACTTGTAATGCACAGAAAAATGAGAAAATGGAAAATTAGGTTATTAAAAAAACATATCCAAAGAAAGGGGTTTTAAAAGTACCTTGATTATTATCATGTTACAATTACAGTATTTTTGCTACTTCTATCATTACTAACAATCTTTGTTGGTTAGCACTACTGACTTTGACTCCTTCCTTCCAGTAAAAACAATCTTAAATTAGATGTTGAGAAATAAATTGTAGTCTTTATTCTGCCACTTACTATGTAGAACCAAAGAAATGGTACAATTTATCTCTCTGAGTCAAGGTAATAAGCAAGATTTTTTCCATCCAAAAACTAAGACTCAGTTCAGTCAACTTCTCTGATCTATAACATGGAAATAATCATATGTCTGCCTAGCCATCCTCAAATATTACTGGGATGATCAAATAAAGTGAAGACATATTATACATGCATCTTTATCCTGTTTGAATTCAGCTATATGTGCTCAGCCAAAGTTGAGAGACAGATAGTACAATTTAAGGTGTGCTGGTATTTTTACCTACTGTATCTTAGGGTGACTATTAATTAGGATACAAGAATGTGGGGCTTAGCTGGAGAGAGAGAAAACCAACTGCTTGTCCTTTTTGAAAGAAAGTGTACTGGTCCTTAATACAGTGCTTTCCTAAGAGATTTAATGAGTGATTTTGACTTCTTCGGATTTTCACCTCACTCACGAATGCTGGTACCAACCACTATATATGATAAAAATTCAGTGTTAGTGGTGGATTTTTCTGTTAATGATCTCAACATTTCTTTATTGTATATTAGTTGTTCTTGATCTATTTTTCAATCACAGACTCTGAGAACCTGCTCACAGGTAGAATAGGCGAATGCTCATTTGTACAGAGTTTTCATACCATTCTGCTAGGATTTTGGGTCTACTGAAATCCACATTAAGAGTTCTCTCATTTAAAGAAAGCTTCCCTAAATTGTATCCACAGCCCAAGACTCTACTGATGACACATTCGGAGTTGTCAGAGGTAATTCTCAGTATAACAGCAAGAGATTGACTAAGTAGTTCTCCATCAAGACATTTCTTATTGTCTCCTAAGTAAAGCTCCAGTGCCACCGGTGATATTTTCCAAAGAGGTACACACATTGATCTCTGAAGTTTGGGATTTACCAGGCAGGTAACAACCCAACTTTGTTTCATTTTACCCCTCTGATGTCAAAGCATAAACTGTATTTTCATTCTGACACATTTATCCATTTAGGAGATAGTTGAGGATGACCTAACCATCTATCACCATGGACTCTTCAGGCCAAAATGGGGTTGCTGTCTCATTTGTAAGGCAGGCAACAACGGTGATCTTAGGTAGACCGGGGAAAAATGGAAAATCCAAGCTGTTCAGCAGTAAAATCTGATACTCTACATCACCACAGGTTAGGCCAGCAGCCTTTCTACACAGGGCCACAGAAGTCCAAAAGAGGCATCATAAGCCAAGTATGACAACTGAGGCCTAGGTCCACATCTGCTTAAATGTGCTGAGAATTGACACAATTCAATGCAAATATGGCTCCAAAATGCAGGCATGTGACTGTATTTTTTCCATGTGAAAACCAAAAATGTGTCCTTATTTATACCATCCCTCTACGTTTTATTTAAAAACGTAGTAACTTCCTTCAAATCTGTTTTCTGCTACCACAAAACAAGTGATGGAATTCCATGTCATCCTTATCCTAACCCATTTTGTTGGTAACTTCATCTCCAATGTTGAGACTTCCACAAGTGTCTGAGAAAACCAGCATGACAGGATGAGCAGAGGGAGATTCATCACCTCAAAGGTGCCTAGTATCAGTGAATTCTACATTCCAGTGCATGTAAGGGAATTCAATGCACCACTCGGAAGTTCATATGTACTGAGGTCAGTCTGTAACAAGTTATCTACGTTAAGTGGGTACCTGCTGACTATTATTTGACTTTTCAATGTCTGATAGCTCTTTGACATTCCACTACCCATTCAAGGAAAGATTTGCAGCCAGTTTAGCAAATTCTTTTTGCAAGACAAATGGATAATTCATTAACTTTGAAATCTATCTGAAGCTAAAATATAGGTGATTCTTGAACCTATGTGCAGGAAGCTTTTGACGAAATCACAATTAATTTTCCCCCCCTGCAATAGGGAGTAGGCAGAAGCTGCTTTTTAATCATCACTCTTTATCTATTTTATATGAATACCAATGGATTGTGCAATACTGTTTTAAAAAACATTTAGAAGGAAAACTCATCTCCGGTTGCACATTATTTTTTTATAAATGTCATTCTACATTTATACCGGCAATTGCAGCAATCTATGCAAACCAGATTTGAATGCTTAGCAAAGCAGAGTATTTACAAACACCTTGGATACTTTAGCATTTACACTCTTTCTTCCTGCCACAGTGAATTTGAATTGGATACCACAGCTGCTGTCAGATCCAAACACAAGTGCATCCTTCAGCTGCCGCCCCCTACCAAGAACGCCAGGCAAAATCTGCCCATCTTTCATCCACATCTCCTACCCTGTAGCTCACAATTAGTATTTTCACTGGAAAAGGAAAATCAAAGGAAACCAGAAGTATAGCTTCTTCCCCATCACTGATGGGATATGGGAGCTGCCAGAAGCACACACTGAACAATATCACTCCCTAAAATGCTTCTACATCCTTCCCGAACCAGCACTACCCTCCGCCCAACCAACCATCACCACCATCATTTTAGACGGTAGTATCTAATCAACAAAACCCACTGGGAGTTACTACGTGTTAATGATTAGAACAATATCTCATAAGCCTTTGTTTGGAGTATTTTCCCCATCAGGTCTATAGCTAACTCCCTCCTTTCCAACCCCACCACAGAAATCATGGTATCACATTGTGGCACTGCAGATATTCTTTAAGAGGTGCAGAATAAAGCAACAGCCTATGGTTCTGTTTTTCTTTCTACCCAGAAATCATAGAATTATTTGCCCTTACTAGTATGAGATGAGCACATTACATTATTCATCCCTGTATCTACTGTACCTATTTTAATCCAAACCTGCGTGTGTTCAGGGAGACTTTTAATAACCACCTTTTCAGAACAACTCATTATTATAGGTATTTTAATATCTCTTGTTGCCCATTTTTCCACCAGTAACAGGTAGTACTAGAACTGCATGCACCAAGGTAGATTTAATGAAACCTAATGTTCATTCACATGAATCTCCCGTGGCTAAATAGATAAAACTGAAACACAAATATTTGTGTGTTTGGAGCAGATTCTCTAGAGAAAGGCAGAGGCATTGTGAGTAATGAGTGACAGTTTCTTAAAGGTTAATATCTTCTTTAATCTATTTCTAGAACAGAAAGGGAAAATACTATATTAAGTATTGGGTATGCTTTGGGGATTACAGAAACAATTTCAACTCTTATGTACATGTTACACCATAGGGAAAACAAGGAATCCTACACATACACTTTATTTCATAAAACTTAGAAGTGCTTTAAATACATTTTTCTTTCTTATTAAAGAAGTGCCTTAGATGTATGTGAGCATGTATATGTGTGTGTAAAAAAGAAGAGAAATAAAACTGCCCTTAATACTGGACCAGGGGCTGTGATTGTCACGTCAGGTAATGAAACCATTACATGCACGGTATTAAGAAGAGACAAGATGCAATTAGCCAAGAAATTACTCTGATCTCAGTGACATTTTCAAAAAATCATAATACAATATACATCGGAAGACGTGATTGACAGCCTAATCCAGTTTTGATGGAACATAGTCCACATACTGTGAGTAAAGCAGTGCATGTCCAGATAAAGCTCACAGCTGTGAATCTCTGATATGTCCTTACAGTCTTGTCACCCAGGAAATTCCTCAGGTTTAAAAGATGATGAAAGTATCGACCATTAATGACAGGATCATCTCCTGCCCTGAAATAAAATGTACTAATCCCTTTTGCTAGGTCTATGAATTCCTAATATAAATTATATAAACTCTAGTAATTCATCTCTGTTAGCACAGTTGTGTTTGGAAATTGTACAGCAGACTTTGCCCTATTTGAAATGCTAGATGAAAGCAAGACATGTTCTTTTAAGCTGCAGCATAAAGTAATTTAACAGAGGGGACAGAATAACTTCTGGGTAATGAGAACTACAGATGTTAAAAAAAAAAAAAAAAAAAGCAAGTTTGAAAGTTCTAAGGTGGTTTGATGGATTTATGTTTCATCTTTTCAAAGAAGCCAGAAATGCAAATGTACAATTTTTAATTAAGCATAGGTCCCTTAATGTTGACTGCTTAAATAAATGACAACAGTTTGCGATTAACAAATAATTACATGGAAATAACAATTATTAATCAGAGACTTTAGAATTTTCAAATAAACAGTATTAATGGATAGCTAAAGATGAGTTACTCAGTTTTATAATTGCATGTGATTACGTTAATGAAATAGTCAAATATAGACCCACATATATATTCTACATTAGATACAGACAATGCATGAGATAGCTACATAGGAACACATAGCAAAAGAGTAAATAAAGGATGTTTGTTATTTCAAATCTACAATTATTCTATGGTAGCAATGCACCTAAAAGGCAATGATGGCACTATCGATGTATTTATAATCTAATTGCTTTAATTATATTTACTGATGTTGATTTTTTATTTTTAAATTTGAAAACTAAGCATTCTTCATACGTAGTTCTTCAGCTACTGCCCCCCACCAAGAACTTTGTTTTACTTGGTATCTGTCACAGTTATTATTCAAGGATAAGTATAGACTAATTAAACTGCTTTCTGAAATGGAACTTGAAAAAATGAAATACATACTTAGGGGTATGACTAAATAGCAATCAGTTTCATTTTTTAAATTAATATAGATCTTATCCATGGGGAGAATAATTACATGATAAAGATGCTGACATTACTCAAAATTGATAACTGTCTTTTGACATACAAATGGCCAACAGGTATATTAAAACAGTATGAAGATTTCTCAAAAAACTAAAAATAGAGCTACCATATGATGCAGCAATCCCACTGCTGAGTATATAACCATAAAAAAGAAAATCAGTATATCAAAAAGATATCTGTACTCCCACATTTACTGCAGCTCTATTTATAATAGTCAATATACGGAAGCAACCTTAGTATCCATGAATGGCTGAAGGCATAAAGTAAAGGTGGTTCATATCCACAGTGGAAATTCCACAATGTGGATATGGACACAGTGGCTCACGCCTGTGATTCCAACACTTTGGGAGGCAAAGGCGGGTGGATCACTTGAGGCCAAGAGTTTGAGACCAGCCTGGCCAGCATGGTGAAACCCCATCTCTACTAAAAATACAAAAATTAGCCAGGTGTGGTGGTGCATGCCTGTAATCCCAGCTACTCCAGAGGCAGAGGCAGGAGAATCACTTGAACCTGGGAGTGGAGGTTTCAGTGAGCCAAGATCATGCCACTGCACTCCAGCCTATATGACAGAGGGAAGCTCTGTTTCAAAAAAAAAAAAAAAAAAAAAAGGAAGAAATCCTGTCATTAGCAATGACATGGATGAGACTGGAGGACATTATGTTAAATCAAATAAGCCAGGCACAGAAAGATAAATATCCCATGTTCTCACTTGTACGTGGCAGCTAAAAAAAAAAAAAAAAAAAAAAAATTAACTCATGGTGTTAAAGACTGGAATATGCTTTCCAGAGGCTGGAAAGAGTAACAAAGTGGGGTGAGGGGATAAAGTGGAGATGGGTAATGGGTACAAAAATACCAGTTAGATACAATGAATAACATCTAGTATTTGGAGGCACAATACAATGACTATAGTTAACAATAATTTATTGTATACTTTAAAATAACAGAGTGAAATTGGAATATTCATAACACGAAGAAATGATAAAGACTTGAGATGATAGAAACCTCAGTTGCTCTGATTTGATTATCACATACTATATGCCTGTATCAAAACATCACATACACCTAATAAATATCTACAACTCTTATGTACTCACAATTGAAAATTAAAAATTTTAAAAATGACAACTGCTCTTTAGAAATTCCTTATACAATTGACAAATCACATAACTCTTTTCTATAATGATACTTTACTTTTAATAGCAATCAACACTTTCCCTCTATTTATTTGACTTATCAATTGGGCTTCAAGTAACTTTATTCTGCTCGCTGAAACCAAAGCTATCTTCAACTGGTAAAGATTTGCTACTATAATGTTATTCAAAAGAATTTGGACAGCACCATTATTTATAATAGCCATCCGTCTACTGGTGAATGAATAACCAAAATTTGGTGTAGCCATACAATGGAAAACTATTCTGCAATGAAAAGGAGCCAGCTGTTGACACATGCTACAACATAGGTGAATGTTTAAAACATGTTTAATATTTAAGGAAAAATTTCCAGTAATACACAATTAAATTGCTATTTTGGAAGGAGGAAAGGGGAGAACAAAGGAGGAAAGGAGGCAGGGAATGAGGCAGGGAGAAAAGAAGGAAGAAATGAAGGGAGAGAAGGTACTCCCCAGTTACCATGTACTCTTAATCACAATTTAGATAACCAAAAGTATACCATATCTACTTTTTGAAATTATTTATATAGGGACAAATTTTCTCACCCAAGTGCTATCTTAAAAAAAAAAAAAAAAAAAACTTGTGTCAACTTTAAAAGCATCATACAATTAATATAAATCAAAAGGACTGAAAATTAATTTAAATGCTACTTATGTAATTAAGGGGGAGCAATAATGGAAAAGCTTGCATAAATAGAATTGCTTCTGAATTTTCTGAGCTAGGATTTTTGTTTTCCACTTAAAGCAAATGTTAAATTTTTTTTTCTGTCAAAATCCTAAATAGCTTTTTGACAGGTTTGTTATGGTTAATTAATTACTTTCATTTGCACTAAGTTGTATACTTGAAGATGAATAGTACATGATAACAAGGCCAGCCTCTGTGAGGGAGACCTTTGGCGGTCTATGCAGTCTGCTGCCTCATTACAGAACTAGCTATCTGCAGGAAGCCTGACTTTGAAAGGTACAGCACGTCCCATAACACCCTCCCCTAACTGAGATGATTGTAGCTTCTTCCGAAAAGTGATGATTAGGAGAGAGAAAAGCAAAACGGAATGCTGTATGAATATTTCATGTAAATGAAAGCAGGCACTTAGCGAACGTGCATCTTGATTGATGCTAGAGTGCCTCTAAACGTCTTGACATTGAAGGGTTCCGACTCTCCTTCCCTCGATGACTGCTTCAAGAGCTGCAGTTAATAGTGGAATACGACCATATTTAGCTGAAGGGCTCTTTATTACAGACTGATATTAAATAAGACCACAGGCCTCGGGTTAGCATAAGTGAATTCTAGATAAAAGAGACTTCAGAGAGAACCCTAAATGAGATATGATAGTTATGTTTTATTTTGGTCTTTATGTTTTCCCTCCCTGGTGCATAATTGTTTATTTCACTTTTAACCCTCCTCAGGAAAGAGCCAAAGGATTCAAATTGCTTTGCAGAAAGAGGCCCAATAAGCAAAAATGGGATGGTGTTAAGATGAATTTGTATATGATCGCGAAATCATTTTATGTAAATAATACTAGTAGTAGTAGTAGTAGTAATAGTAGTAGTAAAAAAACAGGAGAGCCCTCATCATGGGAGTTTTTAGAAATACAGTTTTTTAGAGATAAGTAGCATTTTTCTAAATTTGTACAATAAACCACCAGTCACTTAGCAAGTAAGGAGGCCATCTAAGAAATTTACACAACAGAATAATTTAATTTCAAAATGCAAATTCAAGGTTTTAGAAACTCACATCTATGGCACGAGTGAGAAGAATAGCAGTGATAGGTTTGCTGACATCACACAACACCCCCACCCCTGACCCCAACATTAGAGACTTCAGTCGTTTTCCTCCAGAAAATACTTAGTTGACTGCTATTTGCTTAAATCAGAATTTCAGCCTCCATTGGCTCTTCAGAAATCATTCACCATTGAAGGGTAAATACAGTCTCTATGAGCTGTGACCACCAGAGCTTTCCATCCATGGCTCAACCAGAATAAAGAGCCCAGAGAGAATCACTGGCAATATCCCTGCATACCAGAAGCTCCCAGCACCAGATACCACTTGTCTTCTGTGAGTCAGCTAAAGATAGAGAGAAAGGGAGGGAGCTAAAGGAAGTATCTCAGAAAGCTCACTTAGAAACCTCTAGTTGTGTATAAAAATTCAATTCTACAAAATGATGGGCCACACAAAACCCAGTAACTTGATTTGTACTTTGCTAATGTCCCTTCTCTTCCAATCTCACTCAGAGACTCTTGGGACTCCTTTAAGGGGAGAGTTAATATTTTCATGCAGGAACAAAATAAAATTTGAGGTGTACAGAAACACATACATATGAATTTAAGAATGAAGAACTTGACATGCTCTTGAGTCTGCTAGGATCTGCATCACTGAATCACAGAACTGGAAAAGACTTCAAAATCACTCAGTCCTGTCTCCTGATTAAAGAAAGCAAGGAGAGGAACTTGCCAAAAATCACATACTTATAAGAGTAGCAAAACCGGTCCTAGGTTTTAGATCTTATGATTCTGACTCTTTTTTTTTATGTCACCAAAATCATTATATCATTTATACATATGGCTTTAATTTACATGGTGTGTTTCTTTCAAATATGCAATTTTTAATTCATAATAAACTATCTTTTGTCTTGCAGTATCTGGATCCTTCTCGGCACCTGTTTAAGTCATCAATCCATAGGTAGCAATTTTAGTAAAGAAAATAATACATCACATAACTTACATAAGTTTGCAAAGTACTTCACATTAATTATTCAACTCAGCCCATACAGAAGTCTTGGGAAGCAGGCATTTCTCTACTTTAGAGAGGAAGAAACCTAGTCTTTCCTTAGTGTAAATTAAACTGAGGTTGCGTTCCTTGCTTTAGCTGACAGATACTGTGAATGACAAAAGCAGAGTCTCATTACTACATCTTCTGGCTCCAAGGTTGTTGCTCACTATCCCTCATTCCACTATTTAGTAAGCATCTATTAAATACCTACTATGTGCCAGGCTTCTGATTCAATCCCAAGGTTATATATCACCACGTAAAGACTGGTTCACATTTTTTCTACATTGGAATGAATACAATCTTTCCATATTTGTCCAATCAAATTTTGTCTAATAGCCAATTAGAGTTACCATGTAAGAGCTGACCTTATGCTTGCTTAATTTTTATCTACTATTTTACCTCTGTTTTTCACAGATGCCCCATATGGTACACATATGGCTTCCAACTGAGGTCTTTATGTCTAACTCTAGATACATGGATGCATTGACTTTTCAAATGACATTAGTACTATAAGACAGAACAAAGAAATCCTGCAGTCCTGTCGGCTTTTAGTGAGTTACAAAGCCTGACAGTAACACATGCAGCACTCAGGGCCACAGGAAGCAGGCATGAAAAAAACTGCACACAGCATTTGGAAAATGACAAGTGGTGGATCCCGGATGCCATCATTATTATTATTATTAAAATTAAACAGAGATTTAATCTAACATTCCATGGGCAGTCAGGCAACTGACTTTAATAACTGTAAACTGAGGCTTACATCGTACTGCACTCAACCTAATGCTTTAATTAAGTTTTGAGGCAGCCTCTGACGACAGTCACAGTGCAAACACAGGCCATGAGCTAAAGGCCGCTCTCTGCCTGCCAGAGCGCAGTCCCTGGGAGCCAGGCAGGAGCAGCAGCCATTGACGCCACCGTTAGATATTTATGAAAGAGATGTTCTGAATTTTATCGTAGTGGTATAGATCAATTTTCAGGACAGAGTCCTTAACAGTGTATTCGGAGGCTAGGTACGAAACCAATTTTATCTGCTTCAGTGATATGTGAACTGTATGAGGAAAGAGATCTCCCAACTCTCTGATAGCTTATCTTCCCTGGTGACCATTTATGCATGCTCTTGTAAATATACATATTTTACAAGGGAAGGGAGGGGTAGAGAGATGCTCTTTAAACTCTCCTTTGAGATGACCTTGAAGTAGGAGCATTTGAATCTTCCAGGAAATTAGCAGCCAAGTGTATTTCGATAATGATGGGTGGGTGGGAAGTGCCACTCATAGAACGGGTAATATCCCCGATAACGGGCTCTTGACCAGACGTCTTTCCATCTGAGCCCGTTTCTTCAAGGAGGCAGAGAAGAGCAGGGCTGCCAGGGTCTGGAAGTCAAGTCCTTCCCCTCAACACTGGAGAGCTTAGCTGGTACAGAGGCTATTACAAAAAAAAAGTAACTATGAAAGAGAGGTTGATTTGGAATTTTCTCAAGCATGTAAGTCTAATGAACATCAAGGGAGAAATGAAAGGATGCTTCCAAGCAAATGTACAGGTATTTTATTGTTTTCAGACACCAAACAATATGGCAGGACAACAGCAGTGAAAATCAATCTATGTTTTATGTTGTGTATATCAAGACTACACATCCATACGTAAGCTGCATTTCCCTTCTTTTCTGTTCCCAGGCTGTATGGACACAGGATGCCTCTTTAATTCTTACACACTTTCTCTTTTCAGATGCTTCCCCTCCCACACTTTTGGGTACCCATCTGAAGAGTGATTCCTTTCATACACCCAACACTTGAGCTTCACTATCCAGTGTGCCGATTTCATATGCGTTGCCACGTACTTTCAAATAAGTACTTCTTTACTGCCTAGACCAGAGGTGGGTTAAGTTTTCTGCAAAAGGACAGATAATAAATATTTTAGGTCTTGAGAATCTTATGGTCTCTGTTGCAACAACAACTCTGCTGCCATAGATCATACACAAACAAATGAATGTGGCTGTTTCAATAAAACTTTATTTACGGACCATGAAATTTGAATTTCATGGAATTTCCATGTTTCACAAAATATCATTTTATTTTTTTAATCCAACCACTTAAAAATGGTTGGAAATCATTCTTAGTTTGCAGGCCATACAAAAAAGAGACAGAAGGTGAAATGTGGCCCCTGGGCTATAATTTGCTAACC